>NC_000018.10:19183030-19347498 GCF_000001405.40 Homo sapiens | reverse complement strand
CTGCTGTGTGCTTTTTATATGTATTCCCGCTTCCAGCGAAATCCCCAAAGCTAGCCAAATATCCACTTGCAGATTCCAGAAAAAGAAGTAAAAGCTATACAGATTGGAACAAAAGAAATAAAACTGTCTTTATTATCTGTCCAGTTTTTATGGGAAGATATTTCCTTTTTCACCTTAGCCCTGAAAGCGCTCCAAATGTCCACTTCCAGATACTACAAAAGGGGTGTTTCAAGACTGCTCTATGAAAGGGAGTGTTCAACTTTTGACTTGAATGCAAACATCAGAAAGCAGTTTCTCAGAACGCTGCAGTCTGCAATTTGTATGAATTCCCGCTTCCAACGAAATCCTCCAAACTAGCCAAATATCCACTTGCAGATTCCACAAAAAGAGCGTTTCAAAACTTCTCTATGAAAGAAAGGTTCTACTCCTTTAGTTGAGGACACACATCACGAGTAAGTTTCTGAGAATGCTTCTGTCTAGTTTTTATGGGAAGATATTTCCTTTTTCACCTTAGGCCGGTAAGTGCTCCAAATGTCCACTTACACACACTACAAAAAGAGTGTTTCAAACCTGCTCTGTGAAAGGGAATGTTCAATTCTGTGACTTGAATGCAATCATCACAAAGAACTTTCTGAGAATGCTGCTGACTGCTTTTTATATGTAATCCCGTTTCCAACGAAATCCTGAAATCTAGCCAAATAGCCACTTGCAGATTCCACAAAAAGAGTGTTTCAAAACTGTTCTGTCTAAAGAAATGTTCAACTGTGTTAGTTGAGGACACACATCAGAAACTAGTTTCTGAGAATGCTTCTGTCTAGTTGTTATGGGAAGATATTTCCTTTTCCAACGTAGGCCTGAAAGCGCTCCAAATGTCCACTTCCATATACTAAAAAAAGAGTGTTTCAAACCTGCTCTACCAAAGGGAATGTTCTACTCTGTGACTTGAATGCAAACATCCCAAAGAAGTTTCTGAGAATGCTTCTGTCTAGATTTTATCTGAAGACAATCCCGTTTCCAACGAAATCCTCAAAGCTAGGCAAATATCCTTTTGCAGATTCCAGAAAAAAGAGTGTTTCAAAACTGCTCCTTCAAAACGTTGGTTCAATTCTCTTAGTTGAGTACACACATCTCAAATAAGTTTCTGAGAATGCTTCTGCCTAGTTGTTAAGGGAAGATATTTCCCTTTCCAACATAGGCCTGAAATCGCTCCAAATGTCCACTTCCAGATACTACAAAAAGAGTGTTTCAAACCTGCTCTACCAAACGGAATGTTCTACTCTGTGACTTGAATGCAAACATCCCAAAGAAGTTTCTGAGAATGCTTCTGTCTAGATTTTACCTGAAGACAATCCCGTTTCCCACGAAATCCTCAAAGCTATGCAAATATCCTCTTGCAGATTCTACAAAAAGAGTGTTTCAAAACTGCTCTATGAAAAGAAAGGTTCAACTCTGTCAGTAGAGGGCACACATCACAAACAAGTTTCTGAGAATGCTTGTGTCTAGTTGTTATGGGAAGATATTTCCTTTTTCAACATAGGCCTGAAAGCGCTCCAAATGTCCACTTCCAGATACTACAAAAGGAGTGATTCCAACCTGCTCTATGATAGGGAATGTTCAACTCTGTGTCCTGAATACAAACATCACAAAGATGTTTCTCAGAACGCTGCAGTCTGCAATTTGTATGTATTCCAGCTTCCAACGAAATCCTCAAATCTAGCCAAATATCCACTTGCAGATTCCACAAAAAGAGCATTTCAAAACTGCTCTATCAAAAGAAAGGTTCAACTTTTTTAGTAGAGTAGATACAGCATGAACAAGTTTCTGAGAATGCTTCTGTCCAGTTTTTATGGGAAGATATTTCCTTTTTCACCTTAGCCCTGAAATCGCTCCAAAAGTCCAGTTCCAGATACTACAAAAGGGGTGTTTCAGGACTGCTCTATGAAAGGGAGTGTTCAACTTTTGACTTGAATGCAAACATCAGAAAGCAGTTTCTCAGAACGCTGCTGTGTGCTTTTTATATGTATTCCCGCTTCCAGCGAAATCCCCAAAGCTAGCCAAATATCCACTTGCAGATTCCAGAAAAAGAGAGTTTCAAAACTGCTCCTTCAAAACGGTGGTTCAATTCTCTTAGTTGAGTACACACATCTCAAATAAGTTTCTGAGAATGCTTCTGTCTAGTTGTTATGGGAAGATATTTCCTTTTCCAACATAGGCCTGAAAGCGCTCCAAATGTCCACTTCCAGATACTACAAAAGGAGTGATTCAAACCTGCTCTATGATAGGGAATGTTCAACTCTGTGTCCTGAATACAAACATCACAAAGATGTTTCTCAGAACGCTGCAGTCTGCAATTTGTATGAATTCCCGCTTCCAACGAAATCCTCAAAACTAGCCAAATATCCACTTGCAGATTCCACAAAAAGAGCGTTTCAAAACTTCTCTATGAAAAGAAAGGTTCTACTCCTTTAGTTGAGGACACACATCACGAGTAAGTTTCTGAGAATGCTTCTGTCTAGTTTTTATGGGAAGATTATTTCCTTTTTCACCTTAGGCCGGTAAGTGCTCCAAATGTCCACTTACACACACTACAAAAAGAGTGTTTCAAACCTGCTCTGTGAAAGGGAATGTTCAATTACTGTGACTTGAATGCAATCATCACAAAGAACTTTCTGAGAATGCTGCTGACTGCTTTTTATATGTAATCCCGTTTCCAACGAAATCCTCAAATCTAGCCAAATAGCCACTTGCAGATTCCACAAAAAGAGTGTTTCAAAACTGTTCTGTCTAAAGAAATGTTCAACTGTGTTAGTTGAGGACACACATCAGAAACTAGTTTCTGAGAATGCTTCTGTCTAGTTGTTATGGGAAGATATTTCCTTTTCCAACGTAGGCCTGAAAGCGCTCCAAATGTCCACTTCCATATACTAAAAAAAGAGTGTTTCACACCTGCTCTACCAAAGGGAATGTTCTACTCTGTGACTTGAATGCAAACATCCCAAAGAAGTTTCTGAGAATGCTTCTGTCTAGATTTGATCTGAACACAATCCCGTTTCCAACGAAATCCTCAAAGCTAGGCAAATATCCTCTTGCAGATTCCAGAAAAAGAGTGTTTCAAAACTGCTCCTTCAAAACGGTGGTTCAATTCTCTTAGTTGAGTACACACATCTCAAATAAGTTTCTGAGAATGCTTCTGCCTAGTTGTTACCGGAAGATATTTCCCTTTCCAACATAGGCCTGAAAGCGCTCCAAATGTCTACTTCCAGATACTACAAAAAGAGTGTTTCAAACCTGCTCTACCAAAGGGAATGTTCTACTCTGTGACTTGAATGCAAACATCCTAAAGAAGTTTCTGAGAATGCTTCTGTCTAGATTTTACCTGAAGACAATCCCGTTTCCCACGAAATCCTCAAAGCTATGCAAAAATCCTCTTGCAGATTCTACAAAAAGAGTGTTTCAAAACTGCTCTATGAAAAGAAAGGTTCAACTCTGTCAGTAGAGGGCACACATCACAAACAAGTTTCTGAGAATGCTTCTGTCTAGTTGTTATGGGAAGATATTTCCTTTTCCAACATAGGCCTGAAAGCGCTCCAAATGTCCACTTCCAGATACTACAAAAGGAGTGATTCCAACCTGCTCTATGATAGGGAATGTTCAACTCTGTGTCCTGAATACAAACATCACAAAGATGTTTCTCAGAACGCTGCAGTCTGCAATTTGTATGAATTCCCGCTTCCAACGAAATCCTCAAAACTAGCCAAATATCCACTTGCAGATTCCACAAAAAGACCATTTCAAAACTGCTCTATCAAAAGAAAGGTTCAACTTTGTTAGTTGAGTAGATACAGCATAAACAAGTTTCTGAGAATGCTTCTGTCCAGTTTTTATGGGAAGATATTTCCTTTTTCACCTTAGCCCTGAAATCGCTCCAAAAGTCCAGTTCCAGATACTACAAAAGGGGTGTTTCAAGACTGCTCTATGAAAGGGAGTGTTCAACTTTTGACTTGAATGCAAACATCAGAAAGCAGTTTCTCAGAACGCTGCTGTGTGCTTTTTATATGTATTCCCGCTTCCAGCGAAATCCCCAAAGCTAGCCAAATATCCACTTGCAGATTCCAGAAAAAGAGAGTTTCAAAACTGCTCCTTCAAAACGGTGGTTCAATTCTCTTAGTTGAGTACACACATCTCAAATAAGTTTCTGAGAATGCTGCAGTCTGCAATTTGTATGAATTCCCGCTTCCAACGAAATCCTCAAAACTAGCCAAATATCCACTTGCAGATTCCACAAAAAGAGCATTTCAAAACCGCTCTATCAAAAGAAAGGTTCAACTTTGTTAGTTGAGCAGATACAGCATAAACAAGTTTCTGAGAATGCTTCTGTCCAGTTTTTATGGGAAGATATTTCCTTTTTCACCTTAGCCCTGAAAGCGCTCCAAATGTCCAGTTCCAGATACTACAAAAGGGGTGTTTCAAGACTGCTCTATGAAAGGGAGTGTTCAACTTTTGACTTGAATGCAAACATCAGAAAGCAGTTTCTCAGAACGCTGCTGTGTGCTTTTTATATGTATTCCCGCTTCCAGCGAAATCCCCAAAGCTAGCCAAATATCCACTTGCAGATTCCAGAAAAAGAGTGTTTCAAAACTGCTCCTTCAAAACGGTGGTTCAATTCTCCTTAGTTGAGTACACACATCTCAAATAAGTTTCTGAGAATGCTTCTCTCTAGATTTTATATGAAGATATTCCCGTTTCCAACGAAATCCACAAAGCTATCGAAATATCCACTTGCAGATTCTACAAAAAGAGTGTTTCAAAACTGCTCTATCAAAAGAAAGGTTCTACCCCTTTAGTTGAGGACACACATCACGAGTAAGTTTCTGAGAATGCTTCTGTCTAGTTTTTATGGGAAGATATTTCCTTTTTCACCTGAGGCCGGAAAGCGCTCCAAATGTCCACTTCCAGATACTACAAAAGGAGTGATTCAAACCTGCTCTATGATAGGGAACGTTCAACTCTGTGTCCTGAATACAAACATCACAAAGATGTTTCTCAGAACGCTGCAGTCTGCAATTTGTATGAATTCCCGCTTCCAACGAAATCCTCCAAACTAGCCAAATATCCACTTGCAGATTCCACAAAAAGAGCGTTTCAAAACTTCTCTATGAAAACAAAGGTTCTACTCCTTTAGTTGAGGACACACATCACGAGTAAGTTTCTGAGAATGCTTCTGTCTAGTTTTTATGGGAAGATATTTCCTTTTTCACCTTAGGCCGGAAAGTGCTCCAAATGTCCACTTACACACACTACAAAAAGAGTGTTTCAAACCTGCTCTGTGAAAGGGAATGTTCAATTCTGTGACTTGAATGCAATCATCACAAAGAACTTTCTGAGAATGCTGCTGTCTGCTTTTTATATGTAATCCCGTTTCCAACGAAATCCTCAAATCTAGCCAAATAGCCACTTGCAGATTCCACAAAAAGAGTGTTTCAAAACTGTTCTGTCTAAAGAAATGTTCAACTGTGTTAGTTGAGGACACACATCAGAAACTAGTTTCTGAGAATGCTTCTGTCTAGTTGTTATGGGAAGATATTTCCTTTTCCAACGTAGGCCTGAAAGCGCTCCAAATGTCCACTTCCATATACTAAAGAAAGAGTGTTTCAAACCTGCTCTACCAAAGGGAATGTTCTACTCCGTGACTTGAATGCAAACATCCCAAAGAAGTTTCTGAGAATGCTTCTGTCTAGATTTGATCTGAAGACAATCCCGTTTCCAACGAAATCCTCAAGGCTAGGCAAATATCCTCTTGCAGATTCCAGAAAAAGAGTGTTTCAAAACTGCTCCTTCAAAACGGTGGTTCAATTCTCTTAGTTGAGTACACACATCTCAAATAAGTTTCTGAGAATGCTTCTGCCTAGTTGTTACGGGAAGATATTTCCCTTTCCATCATGGGCCTGCAAGCGCTCCAAATGTCCACTTCCAGATACTACAAAAAGAGTGTTTCAAACCTGCTCTACCAAAGGGAATGTTCTACTCTGTGACTTGAATGCAAACATCCCAAAGAAGTTTCTGAGAATGCTTCTGTCTAGATTTTACCTGAAGACAATCCCGTTTCCCACGAAATCCTCAAAGCTATGCAAATATCCTCTTGCAGATTCTACAAAAAGAGTGTTTCAAAACTGCTCTATGAAAAGAAAGGTTCAACTCTGTCAGTAGAGGGCACACATCTCAAACAAGTTTCTGAGAATGCTTGTGTCTAGTTGTTATGGGAAGATATTTCCTTTTTCAACATAGGCCTGAAAGCGCTCCAAATGTCCACTTCCAGATACTACAAAAGGAGTGATTCCAACCTGCTCTATGATAGGGAATGTTCAACTCTGTCCTGAATACAAACATCACAAAGATGTTTCTCAGAACGCTGCAGTCTGCAATTTGTATGAATTCCAGCTTCCAACGAAATCCTCAAAACTAGCCAAATATCCACTTGCAGATTCCACAAAAAGAGCATTTCAAAACTGCTCTATCAAAAGAAAGGTTCAACTTTGTTAGTTGAGTAGATACAGCATAAACAAGTTTCTGAGAATGCTTCTGTCCAGTTTTTATGGGAAGATATTTCCTTTTTCACCTTAGCCCTGAAAGCGCTCCAAAAGTCCAGTTCCAGATACTACAAAAGGAGTGTTTCAGGACTGCTCTATGAAAGGGAGTGTTCAACTTTTGACTTGAATGCAAACATCAGAAAGCAGTTTCTCAGAACGCTGCAGTCTGCAATTTGTATGAATTCCCGCTTCCAACGAAATCCTCAACACTAGCCAAATATCCACTTGGAGATTCCACAAAAAGAGCGTTTCAAAACTTCTCTATGAATAGAAAGGTTCTACTCCTTTAGTTGAGGACACACATCACGAGTAAGTTTCTGAGAATGCTTCTGTCTAGTTTTTATGGGAAGATATGTCCTTTTTCACCTTAGGCCGGAAAGCGCTCCAAATGTCCACTTACACACACTACAAAAAGAGTGTTTCAAACCTGCTCTGTGAAAGGGAATGTTCAATTCTGTGACTTGAATGCAATCATCACAAAGAACTTTCTGAGAATGCTGCTGACTGCTTTTTATATGTAATCCCGTTTCCAACGAAATCCTCAAATCTAGCCCAATATCCACTTGCAGATTCCACAAAAAGAGTGTTTCAAAACTGTTCTGTCTAAAGAAATGTACAACTGTGTTAGTTGAGGACACACATCACAAACTAGTTTCTGAGAATGCTTCTGTCTAGTTGTTATGGGAAGATATTTCCTTTTCCAACGTAGGCCTGAAAGCGCTCCAAATGTCCACTTCCATATACTAAAAAAAGAGTGTTTCAAACCTGCTCTACCAAAGGGAATGTTCTACTCTGTGACTTGAATGCAAACATCCCAAAGAAGTTTCTGAGAATGCTTCTGTCTAGATTTTATCTGAAGACAATCCCGTTTCCAACCAAATCCTCAAGGCTAGGCAAATATATTCTTGCAGAATCCAGAAAAAGAGTGTTTCAAAACTGCTCCTTCAAAACGGTGGTTCAATTCTCTTAGTTGAGTACACACATCTCAAATAAGTTTCTGAGAATGCTTCTGCCTAGTTGTTACGGGAAGATATTTCCCTTTCCAACATGGGCCTGAAAGCGCTCCAAATGTCCACTTCCAGATACTACAAAAAGAGTGTTTCAAACCTGCTCTACCAAAGGGAATGTTCTACTCTGTGACTTGAATGCAAACATCCCAAAGAAGTTTCTGAGAATGCTTCGGTCTAGATTTTACCTGAAGACAATCCCGTTTCCCACGAAATCCTCAAAGCTATGCAAATATCCTCTTGCGGATTCTACAAAAAGAGTGTTTCAAAACTGCTCTATGAAAAGAAAGGTTCAACTCTGTCAGTAGAGGGCACACATCACAAACAAGTTTCTGAGAATGCTTGTGTCTAGTTGTTATGGGAAGATATTTCCTTTTTCAACATAGGCCTGAAAGCGCTCCAAATGTCCACTTCCAGATACTACAAAAGGAGTGATTCCAACCTGCTCTATGATAGGGAATGTTCATCTCTGTGTCTTTAATACAAACATCACAAAGATGTTTCTCAGAACGCTGCAGTCTGCAATTTGTATGAATTCCCGCTTCCAACGAAATCCTCAAAACTAGCCAAATATCCACTTGCAGATTCCACAAAAAGACCATTTCAAAACTGCTCTATCAAAAGAAAGGTTCAACTTTGTTAGTTGAGTAGATACAGCATAAACAAGTTTCTGAGAATGCTTCTGTCCAGTTTTTATGGGAAGATATTTCCTTTTTCACCTTAGCCCTGAAATCGCTCCAAAAGTCCAGTTCCAGATACTACAAAACGGGTGTTTCAAGACTGCTCTATGAAAGGGAGTGTTCAACTTTTGACTTGAATGCAAACATCAGAAAGCAGTTTCTCAGAACGCTGCTGTGTGCTTTTTATATGTATTCCCGCTTCCAGCGAAATCCCCAAAGCTAGCCAAATATCCACTTGCAGATTCCAGAAAAAGAGAGTTTCAAAACTGCTCCTTCAAAACGGTGGTTCAATTCTCTTAGTTGAGTACACACATCTCAAATAAGTTTCTGAGAATGCTTCTGTCTAGTTGTTATGGGAAGATATTTCCTTTTCCAACATAGGCCTGAAAGCGCTCCAAATGTCCACTTCCAGATACTACAAAAGGAGTGATTCAAACCTGCTCTATGATAGGGAATGTTCAACTCTGTGTCCTGAATACAAACATCACAACGATGTTTCTCAGAACGCTGCAGTCTGCAATTTGTATGAATTCCCGCTTCCAACGAAATCCTCAAAACTAGCCAAATATCCACTTGGAGATTCCACAAAAAGAGCGTTTCAAAACTTCTCTATGAATAGAAAGGTTCTACTCCTTTAGTTGAGGACACACATCACGAGTAAGTTTCTGACAATGCTTCTGTCTGGTTTTTATGGTAAGATATGTCCTTTTTCACCTTAGGCCGGAAAGCGCTCCAAATGTCCACTTACACACACTACAAAAAGAGTGTTTCAAACCTGCTCTGTGAAAGGGAATGTTCAATTCTGTGACTTGAATGCAATCATCACAAAGAACTTTCTGAGAATGCTGCTGACTGCTTTTTATATGTAATCCCGTTTCCAACGAAATCCTCAAATCTAGCCCAATATCCACTTGCAGATTCCACAAAAAGAGTGTTTCAAAACTGTTCTGTCTAAAGAAATGTACAACTGTGTTAGTTGAGGACACACATCAGAAACTAGTTTCTGAGAATGCTTCTGTCTAGTTGTTATGGGAAGATATTTCCTTTTCCAACGTAGGCCTGAAAGCGCTCCAAATGTCCACTTCCAGATACTAAAAAAAGAGTGTTTCAAACCTGCTCTACCAAAGAGAATGTTCTACTCTGTGACTTGAATGCAAACATCCCAAAGAAGTTTCTGAGAATGCATTTGTCTAGATTTTATCTGAAGACAATCCGGTTTCCAACGAAATCCTCAAGGCTAGGCAAATATACTCTTGCAGATTCCAGAAAAAGAGTGTTTCAAAACTGCTCCTTCAAAACGGTGGTTCAATTCTCTTAGTTGAGTACACACATCTCAAATAAGTTTCTGAGAATGCTTCTGCATAGTTGTTACGGGAAGATATTTCCCTTTCCAACATGGGCCTGAATGCGCTCCAAATGTCCACTTCCAGATACTACAAAAAGAGGGTTTCAAACCTGCTCTACCAAAGGGAATGTTCTACTATGTGACTTGAATGCAAACATCCCAAAGAAGTTTCTGAGAATGCTTCTGTCTAGATTTTACCTGAAGACAATCCCGTTTCCCACGAAATCCTCAAAGCTATGCAAATATCCTCTTGCAGATTCTACAAAAAGAGTGTTTCAAAACTGCTCTATGAAAAGAAAGGTTCAACTCTGTCAGTAGAGGGCACACATCACAAACAAGTTTCTGAGAATGCTTGTGTCTAGTTGTTATGGGAAGATATTTCCTTTTTCAACATAGGCCTGAAAGCGCTCCAAATGTCCACTTCCAGATACTACAAAAGGAGTGATTCCAACCTGCTCTATGATAGGGAATGTTCATACTCTGTGTCCTGAATACAAACATCACAAAGATGTTTCTCAGAACGCTGCAGTCTGCAATTTGTATGAATTCCCGCTTCCAACGAAATCCTCAAAACTAGCCAAATATCCACTTGCAGATTCCACAAAAAGACCATTTCAAAACTGCTCTATCAAAAGAAAGGTTCAACTTTGTTAGTTGAGTAGATACAGCATAAACAAGTTTCTGAGAATGCTTCTGTCCAGTTTTTATGGGAAGATATTTCCTTTTTCACCTTAGCCCTGAAATCGCTCCAAAAGTCCAGTTCCAGATACTACAAAAGGGGTGTTTCAAGACTGCTCTATGAAAGGGAGTGTTCAACTTTTGACTTGAATGCAAACATCAGAAAGCAGTTTGCTCAGAACGCTGGCTGTGTGCTTTTTATATGTATTCCCGCTTCCAGCGAAATCCCCAAAGCTAGCCAAATATCCACTTGCAGATTCCAGAAAAAGAGAGTTTCAAAACTGCTCCTTCAAAACGGTGGTTCAATTCTCTTAGTTGAGTACACACATCTCAAATAAGTTTCTGAGAATGCTTCTGTCTAGTTGTTATGGGAAGATATTTCCTTTTCCAACATAGGCCTGAAAGCGCTCCAAATGTCCACTTCCAGATACTACAAAAGGAGTGATTCCAACCTGCTCTATGATAGGGAATGTTCAACTCTGTGTCCTGAATACAAACATCACAAAGATGTTTCTCAGAACGCTGCAGTCTGCAATTTGTATGAATTCCCGCTTCCAACGAAATCCTCAAAACTAGACAAATATCCACTTGCAGATTCCACAAAAAGAGCGTTTCAAAACTTCTCTATGTAAACAAAGGTTCTACTCCTTTAGTTGAGGACACACATCACGAGTAAGTTTCTGAGAATGCTTCTGTCTAGTTTTTATGGGAAGATATTTCCTTTTTCACCTTAGGCCGGTAAGTGCTCCAAATGTCCACTTACACACACTACAAAAAGAGTGTTTCAAACCTGCTCTGTGAAAGGGAATGTTCAATTCTGTGACTTGAATGCAATCATCACAAAGAACTTTCTGAGAATGCTGCTGTCTGCTTTTTATATGTAATCCCGTTTCCAACGAAATCCTCAAATCTAGCCAAATATCCACTTGCAGATTCCACAAAGAGAGTGTTTCAAAACTGTTCTGTCTAAAGAAATGTTCAACTGTGTTAGTTGAGGACACACATCAGAAACTAGTTTCTGAGAATGCTTCTGTCTAGTTGTTATGGGAAGATATTTCCTTTTCCAACGTAGGCCTGAAAGCGCTCCAAATGTCCACTTCCATATACTAAAAAAAGAGTGTTTCAAACCTGCTCTACCAAAGGGAATGTTCTACTCTGTGACTTGAATGCAAACATCCCAAAGAAGTTTCTGAGAATGCTTCTGTCTAGATTTGATCTGAAGACAATCCCGTTTCCAACGAAATCCTCAAAGCTAGGCAAATATCCTCTTGCAGATTCCAGAAAAAGAGTGTTTCAAAACTGCTCCTTCAAAACGGTGGTTCAATTCTCTTAGTTGAGTACACACATCTCCAATAAGTTTCTGAGAATGCTTCTGCCTAGTTGTTACGGGAAGATATTTCCCTTTCCAACATAGGCCTGAAAGCGCTCCAAATGTCCACTTCCAGATACTAAAAAAAGAGTGTTTCAAACCTGCTCTACCAAAGGGAATGTTCTACTCTGTGACTTGAATGCAAACATCCCAAAGAAGTTTCTGAGAATGCTTCTGTCTAGATTTTACCTGAAGACAATCCCGTTTCCCACGAAATCCTCAAAGCTATGCAAATATCCTCTTGCAGATTCTACAAAAAGAGTGTTTCAAAACTGCTCTATGAAAAGAAAGGTTCAACTCTGTCAGTAGAGGGCACACATCACAAACAAGTTTCTGAGAATGCTTGTGTCTAGTTGTTATGGGAAGATATTTCCTTTTTCAACATAGGCCTGAAAGCCCTCCAAATGTCCACTTCCAGATACTACAAAAGGAGTGATTCCAACCTGCTCTATGATAGGGAATGTTCATCTCTGTGTCTTGAATACAAACATCACAAAGGTGTTTCTCAGAACGCTGCAGTCTGCAATTTGTATGAATTCCCGCTTCCAACGAAATCCTCAAAACTAGCCAAATATCCACTTGCAGATTCCACAAAAAGACCATTTCAAAACTGCTCTATCAAAAGAAAGGTTCAACTTTGTTAGTTGAGTAGATACAGCATAAACAAGTTTCTGAGAATGCTTCTGTCCAGTTTTTATGGGAAGATATTTCCTTTTTCACCTTAGCCCTGAAATCGCTCCAAAAGTCCAGTTCCAGATACTACAAAAGGGGTGTTTCAAGACTGCTCTATGAAAGGGAGTGTTCAACTTTTGACTTGAATGCAAACATCAGAAAGCAGTTTCTCAGAACGCTGCTGTGTGCTTTTTATATGTATTCCCGCTTCCAGCGAAATCCCCAAAGCTAGCCAAATATCCACTTGCAGATTCCAGAAAAAGAGTGTTTCAAAACTGCTCCTTCAAAACGGTGGTTCAATTCTCTTAGTTGAGTACACACATCTCAAATAAGTTTCTGAGAATGCTTCTGTCTAGTTTTTATGGGAAGATATTTCCTTTTTCACCTGAGGCCGGAAAGCGCTCCAAATGTCCACTTCCAGATACTACAAAAGGAGTGATTCAAACCTGCTCTATGATAGGGAACGTTCAACTCTGTGTCCTGAATACAAACATCACAAAGATGTTTCTCAGAACGCTGCAGTCTGCAATTTGTATGAATTCCCGCTTCCAACGTAATCCTCAAAACTAGCCAAATGTCCACCTGCAGATTCCACAAAAAGAGCGTTTCAAAACTTCTCTATGAAAAGAAAGTTTCTACTCCTTTAGTTGAGTACACACATCACGAGTAAGTTTCTGAGAATGCTTCTGTCTAGTTTTTATGGGAAGATATTTCCTTTTTCACCTTAGGCCGGAAAGCGCTGCAAATGTCCGCTTACACACACTACAAAAAGAGTGTTTCAAACCTGCTCTGTGAAAGGGAATGTTCAATTCTGTGACTTGAATGCAATCATCACAAAGAACTTTCTGAGAATGCCGCTGTCTGCTTTTTATATGTAATCCCGTTTCCAACGAAATCCTCAAATGTAGCCAAATATCCACTTGCAGATTCCACAAAAAGAGTGTTTCAAAACTGTTCTGTCTAAAGAAATGTTCAACTGTGTTAGTTGAGGACACACATCAGAAACTAGTTTCTGAGAATGCTTCTGTCTAGTTGTTATGGGAAGATATTTCCTTTTCCAACGTAGGCCAGAAAGCGCTCCAAATGTCCACTTACACACACTACAAAAAGAGTGTTTCAAACCTGCTCTACCAAAGGGAATGTTCTACTCTGTGACTTGAATGCAAACATCCCAAAGAAGTTTCTGAGAATGCTTCTGTCTAGATTTTACCTGAAGACAATCCCGTTTCCCACGAAATCCTCAAAGCTATGCAAATATCCTCTTGCAGATTCTACAAAAAGAGTGTTTCGAAACTGCTCTATGAAAAGAAAGGTTCAACTGTGTCAGTAGAGGGCACACATCACAAACAAGTTTCTGAGAATGCTTCTGCCTAGTTGTTATGGGAAGATATTTCCTTTTTCAACATAGGCCTGAAAGCGCTAGAAATGTCCACTTCCAGATACTACAAAAGGAGTGATTCCAACCTGCTCTATGATAGGGAATGTTCAACTCTGTGTCCTGAATACAAACATCACAAAGATGTTTCTCAGAACGCTGCAGTCTGCAATTTGTATGAATTCCCGCTTCCAACGAAATCCTCAAAACTAGCCAAATATCCACTTGCAGATTGCACAAAAAGAGCATTTCAAAACTGCTCTATCAAAAGAAAGGTTCAACTTTGTTAGTTGAGTAGATACAGCATAAACAAGTTTCTGAGAATGCTTCTGTCCAGTTTTTATGGGAAGATATTTCCTTTTTCACCTTAGCCCTGAAAGCGCTCCAAATGTCCAGTTCCCGATACTACAAAAGGGGTGTTTCAAGACTGCTCTATGAAAGGGAGTGTTCAACTTTTGACTTGAATGCAAACATCAGAAAGCAGTTTCTCAGAACGCTGCTGTGTGCTTTTTATATGTATTCCCGCTTCCAGCGAAATCCCCAAAGCTAGCCAAATATCCACTTGCAGATTCCAGAAAAAGAGTGTTTCAAAACTGCTCCTTCAAAACGGTGGTTCAATTCTCTTAGTTGAGTACACACATCTCAAATAAGTTTCTGAGAATGCTTCTGTCTAGTTGTTATGGGAAGATATTTCCTTTTCCAACATAGGCCTGAAAGCGCTCCAAATGTCCACTTCCAGATACTACAAAAGGAGTGATTCCAACCTGCTCTATGATAGGGAATGTTCAACTCTGTGTCCTGAATACAAACATCACAAAGATGTTTCTCAGAACGCTGCAGTCTGCAATTTGTATGAATTCCCGCTTCCAACGAAATCCTCAAAACTAGCCAAATATCCACTTGCAGATTCCACAAAAAGACCATTTCAAAACTGCTCTATCAAAAGAAAGGTTCAACTTTGTTAGTTGAGTAGATACAGCATAACCAAGTTTCTGAGAATGCTTCTGTCCAGTTTTTATGGGAAGATATTTCCTTTTTCACCTTAGCCCTGAAATCGCTCCAAAAGTCCAGTTCCAGATACTACAAAAGGGGTGTTTCAGGACTGCTCTATGAAAGGGAGTGTTCAACTTTTGACTTGAATGCAAACATCAGAAAGCAGTTTCTCAGAACGCTGCTGTGTGCTTTTTATATGTATTCCCGCTTCCAGCGAAATCCCCAAAGCTAGCCAAATATCCACTTGCAGATTCCAGAAAAAGAGTGTTTCAAAACTGCTCCTTCAAAACGGTGGTTCAATTCTCTTAGTTGAGTACACACATCTCAAATAAGTTTCTGAGAATGCTTCTGTCTAGTTGTTATGGGAAGATATTTCCTTTTCCAACATAGGCCTGAAAGCGCTCCAAATGTCCACTTCCAGATACTACAAAAGGAGTGATTCCAACCTGCTCTATGATAGGGAATGTTCAACTCTGTGTCCTGAATACAAACATCACAAAGATGTTTCTCAGAACGCTGCAGTCTGCAATTTGTATGAATTCCCGCTTCCAACGAAATCCTCAAAACTAGCCAAATATCCACTTGCAGATTCCACAAAAAGACCATTTCAAAACTGCTCTATCAAAAGAAAGGTTCAACTTTGTTAGTTGAGTAGATACAGCATAAACAAGTTTCTGAGAATGCTTCTGTCCAGTTTTTATGGGAAGATATTTCCTTTTTCACCTTAGCCCTGAAGGCGCTCCAAATGTCCAGTTCCAGATACTACAAAAGGGGTGTTTCAAGACTGCTCTATGAAAGGGAGTGTTCAACTTTTGACTTGAATGCAAACATCAGAAAGCAGTTTCTCAGAACGCTGCTGTGTGCTTTTTATATGTATTCCCGCTTCCAGCGAAATCCCCAAAGCTAGCCAAATATCCACTTGCAGATTCCAGAAAAAGAGTGTTTCCAAACTGCTCCTTCAAAACGGTGGTTCAATTCTCTTAGTTGAGTACACACATCTCAAATAAGTTTCTGGGAATGCTTGTGTCTAGTTGTTATGGGAAGATATTTCCTTTTTCAACATAGGCCTGAAAGCGCTCCAAATGTCCACTTCCAGATACTACAAAAGGAGTGATTCCAACCTGCTCTATGATAGGGAATGTTCAACTCTGTGTCCTGAATACAAACATCACAAAGATGTTTCTCAGAACGCTGCAGTCTGCAATTTGTATGAATTCCCGCTTCCAACGAAATCCTCAAAACTAGCCAAATATCCACTTGCAGATTCCACAAAAAGAGCGTTTCAAAACTTCTCTATGAAAAGAAAGGTTCTACTCCTTTAGTTGAGGACACACATCACGAGTAAGTTTCTGAGAATGCTTCTGTCTAGTTTTTATGGGAAGATATTTCCTTTTTCACCTTAGGCCGGTAAGTGCTCCAAATGTCCACTTACACACACTACAAAAAGATTGTTTCAAACCTGCTCTGTGAAAGGGAATGTTCAATTCTGTGACTTGAATGCAATCATCACAAAGAACTTTCTGAGAATGCTGCTGACTGCTTTTTATATGTAATCCCGTTTCCAACGAAATCCTCAAATCTAGCCAAATAGCCACTTGCAGATTCCACAAAAAGAGTGTTTCAAAACTGTTCTGTCTAAAGAAATGTTCAACTGTGTTAGTTGAGGACACACATCAGAAACTAGTTTGCTGAGAATGCTTCTGTCTAGTTGTTATGGGAAGATATTTCCTTTTCCAACGTAGGCCTGAAAGCGCTCCAAATGTCCAATTCCATATACTAAAAAAAGAGTGTTTCAAACCTGCTCTACCAAAGGGAATGTTCTACTCTGTGACTTGAATGCAAACATCCCAAAGAAGTTTCTGAGAATGCTTCTGTCTAGATTTTATCTGAAGACAATCCCGTTTCCAACGAAATCCTCAAGTCTAGGCAAATATTCTCTTGCAGATTCCAGAAAAAGAGTGTTTCAAAACTGCTCCTTCAAAACGGTGGTTCAATTCTCTTAGTTGAGTACACACATCTCAAATAAGTTTCTGAGAATGCTTCTGCCTAGTTGTTACGGGAAGATATTTCCCTTTCCAACATGGTCCTGAAAGCGCTCCAAATGTCCACTTCCAGATACTACAAAAAGAGTGTTTCAAACCTGCTCTACCAAAGGGAATGTTCTACTCTGTGACTTGAATGCAAACATCCCACAGAAGTTTCTGAGAATGCTTCTGTCTAGATTTTACCTGAAGACAATCCCGTTTCCCACGAAATCCTCAAAGCTATGCAAATATCCTCTTGCGGATTCTACAAAAAGAGTGTTTCAAAACTACTCTATGAAAAGAAAGGTTCAACTCTGTCAGTAGAGGGCACACATCACAAACAAGTTTCTGAGAATGCTTCTGCATAGTTGTTACGGGAAGATATTTCCCTTTCCAAAATAGGCCTGAAAGCGCTCCAAATGTCCACTTCCAGATACTACAAAAGGAGTGATTCCAACCTGCTCTATGATAGGGAATGTTCAACTCTGTGTCCTGAATACAAACATCACAAAGATGTTTCTCAGAACGCTGCAGTCTGCAATTTGTATGAATTCCCGCTTCCAACGAAATCCTCAAAACTAGCCAAATATCCACTTGCAGATTCCACAAAAAGACCATTTCAAAACTGCTCTATCAAAAGAAAGGTTCAACTTTGTTAGTTGAGTAGATACAGCATAAACAAGTTTCTGAGAATGCTTCTGTCCAGTTTTTATGGGAAGATATTTCCTTTTTCACCTTAGCCCTGAAATCGCTCCAAAAGTCCAGTTCCAGATACTACAAAAGGGGTGTTTCAAGACTGCTCTATGAAAGGGAGTGTTCAACTTTTGACTTGAATGCAAACATCAGAAAGCAGTTTCTCAGAACGCTGCTGTGTGCTTTTTATATGTATTCCCGCTTCCAGCGAAATCCCCAAAGCTAGCCAAATATCCACTTGCAGATTCCAGAAAAAGAGAGTTTCAAAACTGCTCCTTCAAAACGGTGGTTCAATTCTCTTAGTTGAGTACACACATCTCAAATAAGTTTCTGAGAATGCTTCTGTCTAGTTGTTATGGGAAGATATTTCCTTTTCCAACATAGGCCTGAAAGCGCTCCAAATGTCCACTTCCAGATACTACAAAAGGAGTGATTCCAACCTGCTCTATGATAGGGAATGTTCAACTCTGTGTCCTGAATACAAACATCACAAAGATGTTTCTCAGAACGCTGCAGTCTGCAATTTGTATGAATTCCCGCTTCCAACGAAATCCTCCAAACTAGCCAAATATCCACTTGCAGATTCCACAAAAAGAGCGTTTCAAAACTTCTCTATGAAAAGAAAGGTTCTACTCCTTTAGTTGAGGACACACATCACGAGTAAGTTTCTGAGAATGCTTCTGTCTAGTTTTTATGGGAAGATATTTCCTTTTTCACCTTAGGCCGGAAAGTGCTCCAAATGTCCACTTACACACACTATAAAAAGAGTGTTTCAAACCTGCTCTGTGAAAGGGAATGTTCAATTCTGTGACTTGAATGCAATCATCACAAAGAACTTTCTGAGAATGCTGCTGTCTGCTTTTTATATGTAATCCCGTTTCCAACGAAATCCTCAAATCTAGCCAAATAGCCACTTGCAGATTCCACAAAAAGAGTGTTTCAAAACTGTTCTGTCTAAAGAAATGTTCAACTGTGGTAGTTGAGGACACACATCAGAAACTAGTTTCTGAGAATGCTTCTGTCTAGTTGTTATGGGAAGATATTTCCTTTTCCAACGTAGGCCTGAAAGCGCTCCAAATGTCCACTTCCATATACTAAAAAAAGAGTGTTTCAAACCTGCTCTACCAAAGGGAATGTTCTACTCTGTGACTTGAATGCAAACATCCCAAAGAAGTTTCTGAGAATGCTTCTGTCTAGATTTTATCTGAAGACAATCCCGTTTCCAACGAAATCCACAAAGCTAGGAAGATATACTCTTGCAGATTCCAGAAAAAGAGTGTTTCAAAACTGCTCCTTCAAAACGGTGGTTCAATTCTCTTAGTTGAGTACACACATCTCAAATAAGTTTCTGAGAATGCTTCTGCCTAGTTGTTACGGGAAGATATTTCCCTTTCCAACATGGGCCTGAAAGCGCTCCAAATGTCCACTTCCAGATACTACAAAAAGAGTGTTTCAAACCTGCTCTACCAAAGGGAATGTTCTACTCTGTGACTTGAATGCAAACATCCCAAAGAAGTTTCTGAGAATGCTTCTGTCTAGATTTTACCTGAAGACAATCCCGTTTCCCACGAAATCCTCAAAGCTATGCAAATATCCTCTTGCGGATTCTACAAAAAGAGTGTTTCAAAACTGCTCTATGAAAAGAAAGGTTCAACTCTGTCAGTAGAGGGCACACATCACAAACAAGTTTCTGAGAATGCTTGTGTCTAGTTGTTATGGGAAGATATTTCCTTTTTCAACATAGGCCTGAAAGCGCTCCAAATGTCCACTTCCAGATACTACAAAAGGAGTGATTCCAACATGCTCTATGATAGGGAATGTTCATCTCTGTGTCTTGAATACAAACATCACAAAGATGTTTCTCTGAACGCTGCAGTCTGCAATTTGTATGAATTCCCGCTTCCAACGAAATCCTCAAAACTAGCCAAATATCCACTTGGAGATTCCACAAAAAGAGGGTTTCAAAACTTCTCTATGAATAGAAAGGTTCTACTCCTTTAGTTGAGGACACACATCACGAGTAAGTTTCTGAGAATGCTTCTGTCTAGTTTTTATGGGAAGATATGTCCTTTTTCACCTTAGGCCGGAAAGCGCTCCAAATGTCCACTTACACACACTACAAAAAGAGTGTTTCAAACCTGCTCTGTGAAAGGGAATGTTCAATTCTGTGACTTGAATGCAATCATCACAAAGAACTTTCTGAGAATGCTGCTGACTGCTTTTTATATGTAATCCCGTTTCCAACGAAATCCTCAAATCTAGCCCAATATCCACTTGCAGATTCCACAAAAAGAGTGTTTCAAAACTGTTCTGTCTAAAGAAATGTACAACTGTGTTAGTTGAGGACACACATCAGAAACTAGTTTCTGAGAATGCTTCTGTCTAGTTGTTATGGGAAGATATTTCCTTTTCCAACGTAGGCCTGAAAGCGCTCCAAATGTCCACTTCCATATACTAAAAAAAGGGTGTTTCAAACCTGCTCTACCAAAGGGAATGTTCTACTCTGTGACTTGAATGCAAACATCCCAAAGAAGTTTCTGAGAATGCTTCTGTCTAGATTTTATCTGAAGACAATCCCGTTTCCAACGAAATCCTCAAGGCTAGGCAAATATACTCTTGCAGATTCCAGAAAAAGAGTGTTTCAAAACTGCTCCTTCAAAACGGTGGTTCAATTCTCTTAGTTGAGTACACACATCTCAAATAAGTTTCTGAGAATGCTTCTGCCTAGTTGTTACGGGAAGATATTTCCCTTTCCAACATGGGCCTGAAAGCGCTCCAAATGTCCACTTCCAGATACTACAAAAAGAGTGTTTCAAACCTGCTCTACCAAAGGGAATGTTCTACTCTGTGACTTGAATGCAAACATCCCAAAGAAGTTTCTGAGAATGCTTCTGTCTAGATTTTACCTGAAGACAATCCCGTTTCCCACGAAATCCTCAAAGCTATGCAAATATCCTCTTGCGGATTCTACAAAAAGAGTGTTTCAAAACTGCTCTATGAAAAGAAAGGTTCAACTCTGTCAGTAGAGGGCACACATCACAAACAAGTTTCTGAGAATGCTTGTGTCTACTTGTTATGGGAAGATATTTCCTTTTTCAACATAGGCCTGAAAGCGCTCCAAATGTCCACTTCCAGATACTACAAAAGGAGTGATTCCAACCTGCTCTATGATAGGGAATGTTCAACTCTGTGTCCTGAATACAAACATCACAAAGATGTTTCTCAGAACGCTGCAGTCTGCAATTTGTATGAATTCCCGCTTCCAACGAAATCCTCAAAACTAGCCAAATATCCACTTGCAGATTCCACAAAAAGACCATTTCAAAACTGCTCTATCAAAAGAAAGGTTCAACTTTGTTAGTTGAGTAGATACAGCATAAACAAGTTTCTGAGAATGCTTCTGTCCAGTTTTTATGGGAAGATATTTCCTTTTTCACCTTAGCCCTGAAATCGCTCCAAAAGTCCAGTTCCAGATACTACAAAAGGGGTGTTTCAAGACTGCTCTATGAAAGGGAGTGTTCAACTTTTGACTTGAATGCAAACATCAGAAAGCAGTTTCTCAGAACGCTGCTGTGTGCTTTTTATATGTATTCCCGCTTCCAGCGAAATCCCCAAAGCTAGCCAAATATCCACTTGCAGATTCCAGAAAAAGAGTGTTTCAAAACTGCTCCTTCAAAACGGTGGTTCAATTCTCTTAGTTGAGTACACACATCTCAAATAAGTTTCTGAGAATGCTTCTGTCTAGTTGTTATGGGAAGATATTTCCTTTTCCAACATAGGCCTGAAAGCGCTCCAAATGTCCACTTCCAGATACTACAAAAGGAGTGATTCCAACCTGCTCTATGATAGGGAATGTTCAACTCTGTGTCCTGAATACAAACATCACAAAGATGTTTCTCAGAACGCTGCAGTCTGCAATTTGTATGAATTCCCGCTTCCAACGAAATCCTCCAAACTAGCCAAATATCCACTTGCAGATTCCACAAAAAGAGCGTTTCAAAACTTCTCTATGAAAAGAAAGGTTCTACTCCTTTAGTTGAGGACACACATCACGAGTAAGTTTCTGAGAATGCTTCTGTCTAGTTTTTATGGGAAGATATTTCCTTGTTCACCTTAGGCCGGAAAGCGCTCCAAATGTCCACTTACACACACTACAAAAAGAGTGTTTCAAACCTGCTCTGTGAAAGGGAATGTTCAATTCTGTGACTTGAATGCAATCATCACAAAGAAGTTTCTGAGAATGCTGCTGTCTGCTTTTTATATGTAATCCCGTTTCCAACGAAATCCTCAAATCTAGCCAAATAGCCACTTGCAGATTCCACAAAAAGAGTGTTTCAAAACTGTTCTGTCTAAAGAAATGTTCAACTGTGTTAGTTGAGGACACACATCAGAAACTAGTTTCTGAGAATGCTTCTGTCTAGTTGTTATGGGAAGATATTTCCTTTTCCAACGTAGGCCTGAAAGCGCTCCAAATGTCCACTTCCATATACTAAAAAAAGAGTGTTTCAAACCTGCTCTACCAAAGGAATGTTCTACTCTGTGACTTGAATGCAAACATCCCAAAGAAGTTTCTGAGAATGCTTCTGTCTAGATTTGATCTGAAGACAATCCCTTTTCCAACGAAATCCTCAAAGCTAGGCAAATATCCTCTTGCAGATTCCAGAAAAAGAGTGTTTCCAAACTGCTCCTTCAAAACGGTGGTTCAATTCTCTTAGTTGAGTACACACATCTCAAATAAGTTTCTGAGAATGCTTCTGCCTAGTTGTTACGGGAAGATATTTCCCTTTCCAACATAGGCCTGAAAGCGCAACAAATGTCCACTTCCAGATACGACAAAAAGAGTGTTTCAAACCTGCTCTACCAAAGGGAATGTTCTACTCTGTGACTTGAATGCAAACATCCCGAAGAAGTTTCTGAGAATGCTTCTGTCTAGATTTTACCTGAAGACAATCCCGTTTCCCACGGAATCCTCAAAGCTATGCAAATATCCTCTTGCAGATTCTACAAAAAGAGTGTTTCAAAACTGCTCTATGAAAAGAAAGGTTCAACTCTGTCAGTAGAGGGCACACATCACAAACAAGTTTCTGAGAATGCTTGTGTCTAGTTGTTATGGGAAGATATTTCTTTTTTCAACATAGGACTGAAAGCGCTCCAAATGTCCACTTCCAGATACTACAAAAGGACTGATTCCAACCTACTCTATGATAGGGAATGTTCATCTCTGTGTCCTGAATACAAACATCACAAAGATGATTCTCAGAACGCTGCAGTCTGCAATTTGTATGAATTCCCGCTTCCAACGAAATCCTCAAAACTAACCAAATATCCACTTGGAGATTCCACAAAAAGAGCGTTTCAAAACTTCTCTATGAATAGAAATGTTCTACTCCTTTAGTTGAGGACACACATCACGAGTAAGTTTCTGAGAATGCTTCTGTCTAGTTTTTATGGGAAGATATTTCCTTTTTCACCTTAGGCCGGAAAGCGCTCCAAATGTCCACTTACACACACTACAAAAAGAGGGTTTCAAACCTGCTCTGTGAAAGGGAATGTTCAATTCTGTGACTTGAATGCAATCATCACAAAGAACTTTCTGAGAATGCTGCTGACTGCTTTTTATATGTAATCCCGTTTCCAAAGAAATCCTCAAATCTAGCCAAATAGCCACTTGCAGATTCCACAAAAAGAGTGTTTCAAAACTGTTCTGTCTAAGGAAATGTTCAACTGTGTTAGTTGAGGACACACATCAGAAACTAGTTTCTGAGAATGCTTCTGTCTAGTCGTTATGGGAAGATATTTCCTTTTCCAACGTAGGCCTGAAAGCGCTCCAAATGTCCACTTCCAGATACTAAAAAAAGAGTGTTTCAAACCTGCTCTACCAAAGGGAATGTTCTACTCTGTGACTTGAATGCAAACATCCCAAAGAAGTTTCTGAGAATGCTTCTGTCTAGATTTTATCTGAAGACAACCACGTTTCCAACGAAATCGTCAAGGCTAGGCAAATATACTCTTGCAGATTCCAGAAAAAGAGTGTTTCAAAACTGCGCCTTCAAAACGGTGGTTCAATTCTCTTAGTTGAGTACACACATCTCAAATAAGTTTCTGAGAATGCTTCTGCCTAGTTGTTACGGGAAGATATTTCCCTTTCCAACATAGGCCTGAAAGCGCTTCAAATGTCCACTTCCAGATACTACAAAAAGAGTGTTTGAAACCTGCTCCACCAAAGGGAATGTTCTACTCTGTGACTTGAATGCAAACATCCCAAAGAAGTTTCTGAGAATGCTTCTGTCTAGATTTTACCTGAAGACAATCCCGTTTCCCACGAAATCCTCAAAGCTATGCAAATATCCTCTTGCAGATTCTACAAAAAGAGTGTTTCAAAACTGCTCTATGAAAAGAAAGGTTCAACTCTGTCAGTAGAGGGCACACATCACAAACAAGTTTCTGAGAATGCTTGTGTCTAGTTGTTATGGGAAGATATTTCCTTTTTCAACATAGGCCTGAAAGCGCTCCAAATGTCCACTTCCAGATACTACAAAAGGAGTGATTCCAACCTGCTCTATGATAGGGAATGTTCAACTCTGTGTCCTGAATACAAACATCACAAAGATGTTTCTCAGAACGCTGCAGTCTGCAATTTGTATGTATTCCAGCTTCCAACGAAATCCTCAAATCTAGCCAAATATCCACTTGCAGATTCCACAAAAAGAGCATTTCAAAACTGCTCTATCAAAAGAAAGGTTCAACTTTTTTAGTAGAGTAGATACAGCATAAACAAGTTTCTGAGAATGCTTCTGTCCAGTTTTTATGGGAAGATATTTCCTTTTTCACCTTAGCCCTGAAATCGCTCCAAAAGTCCAGTTCCAGATACTACAAAAGGGGTGTTTCAGGACTGCTCTATGAAAGGGAGTGTTCAACTTTTGACTTGAATGCAAACATCAGAAAGCAGTTTCTCAGAACGCTGCTGTGTGCTTTTTATATGTATTCCCGCTTCCAGCGAAATCCCCAAAGCTAGCCAAATATCCACTTGCAGATTCCAGAAAAAGAGAGTTTCAAAACTGCTCCTTCAAAACGGTGGTTCAATTCTCTTAGTTGAGTACACACATCTCAAATAAGTTTCTGAGAATGCTTCTGTCTAGTTGTTATGGGAAGATATTTCCTTTTCCAACATAGGCCTGAAAGCGCTCCAAATGTCCACTTCCAGATACTACAAAAGGAGTGATTCCAACCTGCTCTATGATAGGGAATGTTCAACTCTGTGTCCTGAATACAAACATCACAAAGATGTTTCTCAGAACGCTGCAGTCTGCAATTTGTATGAATTCCCGCTTCCAACGAAATCCTCAAAACTAGCCAAATATCCACTTGCAGATTCCACAAAAAGAGCGTTTCAAAACTTCTCTATGAAAAGAAAGGTTCTACTCCTTTAGTTGAGGACACACATCACGAGTAAGTTTCTGAGAATGCTTCTGTCTAGTTTTTAAGGGAAGATATTTCCTTTTTCACCTTAGGCCGGAAAGTGCTCCAAATGTCCACTTACACACACTACAAAAAGAGTGTTTCAAACCTGCTCTGTGAAAGGGAATGTTCAATTCTGTGACTTGAATGCAATCATCACAAAGAACTTTCTGAGAATGCTGCTGTCTGCTTTTTATATGTAATCCCGTTTCCAACGAAATCCTCAAATCTAGCCAAATAGCCACTTGCAGATTCCACAAAAAGAGTGTTTCAAAACTGTTCTGTCTAAAGAAATGTTCAACTGTGTTAGTTGAGGACACACATCAGAAACTAGTTTCTGAGAATGCTTCTGTCTAGTTGTTATGGGAAGATATTTCCTTTTACAACGTAGGCCTGAAAGCGCTCCAAATGTCCACTTCCATATACTTAAAAAAGAGTGTTTCAAACCTGCTCTACCAAAGGGAATGTTCTACTCTGTGACATGAATGCAAACATCCCAAAGAAGTTTCTGAGAATGCTTCTGTCTAGATTTGATCTGAAGACAATCCCGTTTCCAACGAAATCCTCAAGGCTAGGCAAATATCCTCTTGCAGATTCCAGAAAAAGAGTGTTTCAAAACTGCTCCTTCAAAACGGTGGTTCAATTCTCTTAGTTGAGTACACACATCTCAAATAAGTTTCTGAGAGTGCTTCTGCCTAGTTGTTACGGGAAGATATTTCCCTTTCCAACATAGGCCTGAAAGCGCTCCAAATGTCCACTTCCAGATACTACAAAAAGTGTGTTTCAAACCTGCTCTACCAAAGGGAATGTTCTGCTCTGTGACTTGAATGCAAACATCCCAAAGAAGTTTCTGAGAATGCTTCTGTCTAGATTTTACCTGAAGACAATCCCGTTTCCCACGAAATCCTCAAAGCTATGCAAATATCCTCTTGCAGATTCTACAAAAAGAGTGTTTCAAAACTGCTCTATGAAAAGAAAGGTTCAACTCTGTCAGTAGAGGGCACACATCACAAACAAGTTTCTGAGAATGCTTCTGCATAGTTGTTACGGGAAGATATTTCCCTTTCCAAAATAGGCCTGAAAGCGCTCCAAATGTCCACTTCCAGATACTACAAAAGGAGTGATTCCAACCTGCTCTATGATAGGGAATGTTCAACTCTGTGTCCTGAATACAAACATCACAAAGATGTTTCTCAGAACGCTGCAGTCTGCAATTTGTATGAATTCCCGCTTCCAACGAAATCCTCAAACCTAGCCAAATATCCACTTGCAGATTCCACAAAAAGAGCATTTCAAAACTGCTCTATCAAAAGAAAGGTTCAACTTTGTTAGTTGAGTAGATACAGCATAAACAAGTTTCTGAGAATGCTTCTGTCCAGTTTTTATGGGAAGGAATTTCCTTTTTCACCTTAGCCCTGAAAGCGCTCCAAATGTCCAGTTCCAGATACTACAAAAGGGGTGTTTCAAGACTGCTCTATGAAAGGGAGTGTTCAACTTTTGACTTGAATGCAAACATCAGAAAGCAGTTTCTCAGAACGCTGCTGTGTGCTTTTTATATGTATTCCCGCTTCCAGCGAAATCCCCAAAGCTAGCCAAATATCCACTTGCAGATTCCAGAAAAAGAGTGTTTCAAAACTGCTCCTTCAAAACGGTGGTTCAATTCTCTTAGTTGAGTACACACATCTCAAATAAGTTTCTGAGAATGCTTCTGTCTAGTTGTTATGGGAAGATATTTCCTTTTCCAACATAGGCCTGAAAGCGCTCCAAATGTCCACTTCCAGATACTACAAAAGGAGTGATTCCAACCTGCTCTATGATAGGGAATGTTCAACTCTGTGTCCTGAATACAAACATCACAAAGATGTTTCTCAGAACGCTGCAGTCTGCAATTTGTATGAATTCCCGTTTCCAACGTAATCCTCAAAACTAGCCAAATATCCACCTGCAGATTCCACAAAAAGAGCGTTTCAAAACTTCTCTATGAAAAGAAAGTTTCTACTCCTTTAGTTGAGTACACACATCACGAGTAAGTTTCTGAGAATGCTTTCTGTCTAGTTTTTATGGGAAGATATTTCCTTTTTCACCTTAGGCCGGAAAGCGCTCCAAATGTCCACTTACACACACTACAAAAAGAGTGTTTCATACCTGCTCTGTGAAAGGGAATGTTCAATTCTGTGACTTAAATGCAATCATCAAAAAGAACTTTCTGAGACTGCTGCTGTCTGCTTTTTATATGTAATCCCGTTTCCAACGAAATCCTCAAATCTAGCCAAATATCCACTTGCAGATTCCAGAAAAAGAGTGTTTCAAAACTGCTCCTTCAAAACGGTGGTTCAATTCTCTTAGTTGAATACACACATCTCAAATAAGTTTCTGAGAATGCTTCTGCCTAGTTGTTACGGGAAGATATTTCCCTTTCCAACATAGGCCTGAAAGCGCTCCAAATGTCCACTTCCAGATACTACAAAAAGAGTGTTTCAAACCTGCTCTACCAAAGGGAATGTTCTACTCTGTGACTTGAATGCAAACATCCCAAAGAAGTTTCTGAGAATGCTTCTGTCTAGATTTTACCTGAAGACAATCCCGTTTCCCACGAAATCCTCAAAGCTATGCAAATATCCTCTTGCAGATTCTACAAAAAGAGTGTTTCAAAACTGCTCTATGAAAAGAAAGGTTCAACTCTGTCAGTAGAGGGCACACATCACAAACAAGTTTCTGAGAATGCTTGTGTCTAGTTGTTATGGGAAGATATTTCCTTTTTCAACATAGGCCTGAAAGCGCTCCAAATGTCCACTTCCAGATACTACAAAAGGAGTGATTCCAACCTGCTCTATGATAGGGAATGTTCAACTCTCTGTCCTGAATACAAACATCACAAAGATGTTTCTCAGAACGCTGCAGTCTGCAATTTGTATGAATTCCCGCTTCCAACGAAATCCTCAAAACTAGCCAAATATCCACTTGCAGATTCCACAAAAAGACCATTTCAAAACTGCTCTATCAAAAGAAAGGTTCAACTTTGTTAGTTGAGTAGATACAGCATAACCAAGTTTCTGAGAATGCTTCTGTCCAGTTTTTATGGGAAGATATTTCCTTTTTCACCTTAGCCCTGAAAGCGCTCCAAATTTCCAGTTCCAGATACTACAAAAGGGGTGTTTCAAGACTGCTCTATGAAAGGGAGTGTTCAAGTTTTGACTTGAATGCAAACATCAGAAAGCAGTTTCTCAGAACGCTTCTGTGTGCTTTTTATATGTATTCCCGCTTACAGCGAAATCCCCAAAGCTAGCCAAATATCCACTTGCAGATTCCAGAAAAAGAGTGTTTTCAAACTGCTCCTTCAAAACGGTGGTTCAATTCTCTTAGTTGAGTACACACATCTCAAATAAGTTTCTGGGAATGCTTCTGTCTAGTTGTTATGGGAAGATATTTCCTTTTCCAACATAGGCCTGAAAGCGCTCCAAATGTCCACTTCCAGATACTACAAAAGGAGTGATTCAAACCTGCTCTATGATAGGGAATGTTCAACTCTGTGTCCTGAATACAAACATCACAAAGATGTTTCTCAGAACGCTGCAGTCTGCATCTTGTATGAATTCCCGCTTCCAACGAAATCCTCCAAACTAGCCAAATATCCACTTGCAGATTCCACAAAAAGAGCGTTTCAAAACTTCTCTATGAAAAGAAAGGTTCTACTCCTTTAGTTGAGGACACACATCACGAGTAAGTTTCTGAGAATGCTTCTGTCTAGTTTTTATGGGAAGATATTTCCTTGTTCACCTTAGGCCGGAAAGCGCTCCAAATGTCCACTTACACACACTACAAAAAGAGTGTTTCAAACCTGCTCTGTGAAAGGGAATGTTCAATTCTGTGACTTGAATGCAATCATCACAAAGAAGTTTCTGAGAATGCTGCTGTCTGCTTTTTATATGTAATCCCGTTTCCAACGAAATCCTCAAATCTAGCCCAATATCCACTTGCAGATTCCACAAAAAGAGTGTTTCAAAACTGTTCTGTCTAAAGAAATGTACAACTGTGTTAGTTGAGGACACACATCAGAAACTAGTTTCTGAGAATGCTTCTGTCTAGTTGTTATGGGAAGATATTTCCTTTTCCAACGTAGGCCTGAAAGCGCTCCAAATGTCCACTTCCATATACTAAAAAAAGAGTGTTTCAAACCTGCTCTACCAAAGGGAATATTCTACTCTGTGACTTGAGTGCAAACATCCCAAAGAAGTTTCTGAGAATGCTTCTGTCTAGATTTTATCTGAAGACAATCCCGTTTCCAACGAAATCCTCAAGGCTAGGCAAATATACTCTTGCAGATTCCATAAAAAGAGTGTTTCAAAACTGCTCCTTGAAAACGGTGGTTCAATTCTCTTAGTTGAGTACACACATCTCAAATAAGTTTCTGAGAATGCTTCTGCCTAGTTGTTACGGGAAGATATTTCCCTTTCCAACATGGGCCTGAAAGCGCTCCAAATCTCCACTTCCAGATACTACAAAAAGAGGGTTTCAAACCTGCTCTACCAAAGGGAATGTTCTACTCTGTGACTTGAATGCAAACATCCCAAAGAAGTTTCTGAGAATGCTTCTGTCTAGATTTTACCTGAAGACAATCCCGTTTCCCACGAAATCCTCAAAGCTATGCAAATATCCTCTTGCAGATTCTACAAAAAGAGTGTTTCAAAACTGCTCTATGAAAAGAAAGGTTCAACTCTGTCAGTAGAGGGCACACATCACAAACAAGTTTCTGAGAATGCTTGTGTCTAGTTGTTATGGGAAGATATTTCCTTTTTCAACATAGGCCTGAAAGCGCTCCAAATGTCCACTTCCAGATACTACAAAAGGAGTGATTCCAACCTGCTCTATGATAGGGAATGTTCAACTCTGTGTCCTGAATACAAACATCACAAAGATGTTTCTCAGAACGCTGCAGTCTGCAATTTGTATGAATTCCCGCTTCCAACGAAATCCTCAAAACTAGCCAAATATCCACTTGCAGATTCCACAAAAAGACCATTTCAAAACTGCTCTATCAAAAGAAAGGTTCAACTTTGTTAGTTGAGTAGATACAGCATAAACAAGTTTCTGAGAATGCTTCTGTCCAGTTTTTATGGGAAGATATTTCCTTTTTCACCTTAGCCCTGAAATCGCTCCAAAAGTCCAGTTCCAGATACTACAAAAGGGGTGTTTCAGGACTGCTCTATGAAAGGTAGTGTTCAACTTTTGACTTGAATGCAAACATCAGAAAGCAGTTTCTCAGAACGCTGCTGTGTGCTTTTTATATGTATTCCCGCTTCCAGCGAAATCCCCAAAGCTAGCCAAATATCCACTTGCAGATTCCAGAAAAAGAGAGTTTCAAAACTGCTCCTTCAAAACGGTGGTTCAATTCTCTTAGTTGAGTACACACATCTCAAATAAGTTTCTGAGAATGCTGCAGTCTGCAATTTGTATGTATTCCAGCTTCCAACGAAATCCTCAAATCTAGCCAAATATCCACTTGCAGATTCCACAAAAAGAGCATTTCAAAACTGCTCTATCAAAAGAAAGGTTCAACTTTTTTAGTAGAGTAGATACAGCATGAACAAGTTTCTGAGAATGCTTCTGTCCAGTTTTTATGGGAAGATATTTCCTTTTTCACCTTAGGCCGGAAAGTGCTCCAAATGTCCACTTACACACACTATACAAAGAGTGTTTCAAACCTGCTCTGTGAAAGGGAATGTTCAATACTGTGACTTGAATGCAATCATCACAAAGAAGTTTCTGAGAATGCTGCTGTCTGCTTTTTATATGTAATCCCGTTTCCAACGAAATCCTCAAATCTAGCCAAATAGCCACTTGCAGATACCACAAAAAGAGTGTTTCAAAACTGTTCTGTCTAAAGAAATGTTCAACTGTGTTAGTTGAGGACACACATCAGAAACTAGTTTCTGAGAATGCTTCTGTCTAGTTGTTATGGGAAGATATTTCCTTTTCCAACGTAGGCCTGAAAGCGCTCCAAATGTCCACTTCCATATACTAAAAAAAGAGTGTTTCAAACCTGCTCTACCAAAGGGAATGTTCTACTCTGTGACTTGAATGCAAACATTCCAAGGAAGTTTCTGAGAATGCTTCTGTCTAGATTTTACCTGAAGACAATCCCGTTTCCCACGAAATCCTCAAAGCTATGCAAATATCCTCTTGCAGATTCTACAAAAAGAGTGTTTCAAAACTGCTCTATGAAAAGAAAGGTTCAACTCTGTCAGTAGAGGGCACACATCACAAACAAGTTTCTGAGAATGCTTCTGCATAGTTGTTACGGGAAGATATTTCCCTTTCCAAAATAGGCCTGAAAGCGCTCCAAATGTCCACTTCCAGATACTACAAAAGGAGTGATTCCAACCTGCTCTATGATAGGGAATGTTCAACTCTCTGTCCTGAATACAAACATCACAAAGATGTTTCTCAGAACGCTGCAGTCTGCAATTTGTATGAATTCCCGCTTCCAACGAAATCCTCAAAACTAGCCAAATATCCACTTGCAGATTCCACAAAAAGACCATTTCAAAACTGCTCTATCAAAAGAAAGGTTCAACTTTGTTAGTTGAGTAGATACAGCATAACCAAGTTTCTGAGAATGCTTCTGTCCAGTTTTTATGGGAAGATATTTCCTTTTTCACCTTAGCCCTGAAATCGCTCCAAAAGTCCAGTTCCAGATACTACAAAAGGGGTGTTTCAAGACTGCTCTATGAAAGGGAGTGTTCAACTTTTGACTTGAATGCAAACATCAGAAAGCAGTTTCTCAGAACGCTGCTGTGTGCTTTTTATATGTATTCCCGCTTCCAGCGAAATCCCCAAAGCTAGCCAAATATCCACTTGCAGATTCCAGAAAAAGAGTGTTTCAAAACTGCTCCTTCAAAACGGTGGTTCAATTCTCTTAGTTGAGTACACACATCTCAAATAAGTTTCTGAGAATGCTTGTGTCTAGTTGTTATGGGAAGATATTTCCTTTTTCAACATAGGCCTGAAAGCGCTCCAAATGTCCACTTCCAGATACTACAAAAGGAGTGATTCCAACCTGCTCTATGATAGGGAATGTTCATCTCTGTGTCCTGAATACAAACATCACAAAGATGTTTCTCAGAACGCTGCAGTCTGCAATTTGTATGAATTCCCGCTTCCAACGAAATCCTCAAAACTAACCAAATATCCACTTGGAGATTCCACAAAAAGAGCGTTTCAAAACTTCTCTATGAATAGAAAGGTTCTACTCCTTTAGTTGAGGACACACATCACGAGTAAGTTTCTGAGAATGCTTCTGTCTAGTTTTTATGGGAAGATATGTCCTTTTTCACCTTAGGCCGGAAAGCACTCCAAATGTCCACTTACACACACTACAAAAAGAGTGTTTCAAACCTGCTCTGTGAAAGGGAATGTTCAATTCTGTGACTTGAATGCAATCATCACAAAGAACTTTCTGAGAATGCTGCTGACTGCTTTTTATATGTAATCCCGTTTCCCACGAAATCCTCAAATCTAGCCCAATATCCACTTGCAGATTCCACAAAAAGAGTGTTTCAAAACTGTTCTGTCTAAAGAAATGTACAACTGTGTTAGTTGAGGACACACATCAGAAACTAGTTTCTGAGAATGCTTCTGTCTAGTTGTTATGGGAAGATATTTCCTTTTCCAACGTAGGCCTGAAAGCGCTCCAAATGTCCACTTCCATATACTAAAAAAAGAGTGTTTCAAACCTGCTCTACCAAAGGGAATGTTCTACTCTGTGACTTGAATGCAAACATCCCAAAGAAGTTTCTGAGAATGCTTCTGTCTTGATTTGATCTGAAGACAATCCCGTTTCCAACGAAATCCTCAAGGCTAGGCAAATATCCTCTTGCAGATTCCAGAAAAAGAGTGTTTCAAAACTGCTCCTTCAAAACGGTGATTCAATTCTCTTAGTTGAGTACACACATCTCAAATAAGTTTCTGAGAATGCTTCTGCCTAGTTGTTACGGGAAGATATTTCCCTTTCCAACATAGGCCTGAAAGCGCTCCAAATGTCCACTTCCAGATAATACAAAAAGAGTGTTTCAAACCTGCTCTACCAAAGGGAATGTTCTACTCTGTGACTTGAATGCAAACATCCCAAAGAAGTTTCTGAGAATGCTTCTGTCTAGATTTTACCTGAAGACAATCCCGTTTCCCACGAAATCTTCAAAGCTATGCAAATATCCTCTTGCAGATTCTACAAAAAGAGCGTTTCAAAACTTCTCTATGAAAAGAAAGGTTCTACTCATTTAGTGGAGGACACACATCACGAGTAAGTTTCTGAGAATGCTTCTGCATAGTTGTTACGGGAAGATATTTCCCTTTCCAAAATAGGCCTGAAAGCGCTCCAAATGTCCACTTCCAGATACTACAAAAGGAGTGATTCCAACCTGCTCTATGATAGGGAATGTTCAACTCTGTGTCCTGAATACAAACATCACAAAGATGTTTCTCAGAACGCTGCAGTCTGCAATTTGTATGAATTCCCGCTTCCAGCGAAATCCTCAAAACTAGCCAAATATCCACTTGCAGATTCCACAAAAAGAGCATTTCAAAACTGCTCTATCAAAAGAAAGGTTCAACTTTGTTAGTTGAGTAGATACAGCATAAACAAGTTTCTGAGAATGCTTCTGTCCAGTTTTTATGGGAAAATATTTCCTTTTTCACCTTAGCCCTGAAAGCGCTCCAAAAGTCCAGTTCCAGATACTACAAAAGGGGTGTTTCAGGACTGCTCTATGAAAGGGAGTGTTCAACTTTTGACTTGAATGCAAACATCAGAAAGCAGTTTCTCAGAACGCTGCTGTGTGCTTTTTATATGTATTCCCGCTTCCAGCGAAATCCCCAAAGCTAGCCAAATATCCACTTGCAGATTCCAGAAAAAGAGTGTTTCAAAACTGCTCCTTCAAAACGGTGGTTCAATTCTCTTAGTTGAGTACACACATCTCAAATAAGTTTCTGAGAATGCTTCTGTCTAGTTGTTATGGGAAGATATTTCCTTTTCCAACATAGGCCTGAAAGCGCTCCAAATGTCCACTTCCAGATACTACAAAAGGAGTGATTCAAACCTGCTCTATGATAGGGAATGTTCAACTCTGTGTCCTGAATACAAACATCACAAAGATGTTTCTCAGAACGCTGCAGTCTGCAATTTGTATGAATTCCCGCTTCCAACGAAATCCTCAAAACTAGCCAAATATCCACTTGCAGATTCCACAAAAAGAGCGTTTCAAAACTTCTCTATGAAAAGAAAGGTTCTACTCCTTTAGTTGAGGACACACATCACGAGTAAGTTTCTGAGAATGCTTCTGTCTAGTTTTTATGGGAAGATATTTCCTTTTTCACCTTAGGCCGGTAAGTGCTCCAAATGTCCACTTACACACACTACAAAAAGAGTCTTTCAAACCTGCTCTGTGAAAGGGAATGTTCAATTCTGTGACTTGAATGCAATCATCACAAAGAACTTTCTGAGAATGCTGCTGTCTGCTTTTTATATGTAATCCCGTTTCCAACGAAATCCCTCAAATCTAGCCAAATAGCCACTTGCAGATTCCACAAAAAGAGAGTTTCAAAACTGTTCTGTCTAAAGAAATGTTCAACTGTGTTAGTTGAGGACACACATCAGAAACTAGTTTCTGAGAATGCTTCTGTCTAGTTGTTATGGGAAGATATTTCCTTTTCCAACGTAGGCCTGAAAGCGCTCCAAATGTCCACTTCCATATACTAAAAAAAGAGTGTTTCAAACCTGCTCTACCAAAGGGAATGTTCTACTCTGTGACTTGAATGCAAACATCCCAAAGAAGTTTCTGAGAATGCTTCTGTCTAGATTTGATCTGAAGACAATCCCGTTTCCAACGAAATCCTCAAGGCTAGGCAAATATCCTCTTGCAGATTCCAGAAAAAGAGTGTTTCAAAACTGCTCCTTCAAAACGGTGGTTCAATTCTCTTAGTTGAGTACACACATCTCAAATAAGTTTCTGAGAATGCTTCTGCCTAGTTGTTACGGGAAGATATTTCCCTTTCCAACATAGGCCTGAAAGCGCTCCAAATGTCCACTTCCAGATACTACAAAAAGAGTGTTTCAAACCTGCTCTACCAAAGGGAATGTTCTACTCTGTGACTTGAATGCAAACATCCCAAAGAAGTTTCTGAGAATGCTTCTGTCTAGATTTTACCTGAAGACAATCCCGTTTCCCACGAAATCCTCAAAGCTATGCAAATATCCTCTTGCGGATTCTACAAAAAGAGTGTTTCAAAACTGCTCTATGAAAAGAAAGGTTCAACTCTGTCAGTAGAGGGCACACATCACAAACAAGTTTCTGAGAATGCTTGTGTCTAGTTGTTATGGGAAGATATTTCCTTTTTCAACATAGGCCTGAAAGCGCTCCAAATGTCCACTTCCACATACTACAAAAGGAGTGATTCCAACCTGCTCTATGATAGGGAATGTTCATCTCTGTGTCCTGAATACAAACATCACAAAGATGTTTCTCAGAACGCTGCAGTCTGCAATTTGTATGAATTCCCGCTTCCAACGAAATCCTCAAAACTAGCCAAATATCCACTTGGAGATTCCACAAAAAGAGCGTTTCAAAACTTCTCCATGAATAGAAAGGTTCTACTCCTTTAGTTGAGGAAACACATCACGAGTAAGTTTCTGAGAATGCTTCTGTCTAGTTTTTATGGGAAGATATGTCCTTTTTCACCTTAGGCCGGAAAGCGCTCCAAATGTCCACTTACACACACTACAAAAAGAGTGTTTCAAACCTGCTCTGTGAAAGGGAATGTTCAATTCTGTGACTTGAATGCAATCATCACAAAGAACTTTCTGAGAATGCTGCTGTCTGCTTTTTATATGTAATCCCGTTTCCAACGAAATCCTCAAATCTAGCCAAATATCCACTTGCAGATTCCACAAAAAGAGTGCTTCAAAACTGTTCTGTCTAAAGAAAAGTTCAACTGTGTTAGTTGAGGACACACATCAGAAACTAGTTTCTGAGAATGCTTCTGTCTAGTTGTTATGGGAAGATATTTCCTTTTCCAACGTAGGCCTGAAAGCGCTCCAAATGTCCACTTCCATATACTAAAAAAAGAGTGTTTCAAACCTGCTCTACCAAAGGGAATGTTCTACTCTGTGACTTGAATGCAAACATCCCAAAGAAGTTTCTGAGAATGCTTCTGTCTAGATTTTATCTGAAGACAATCCCGTTTCCAACGAAATCCTCAAGGCTAGGCAAATATACTCTTGCAGATTCCAGAAAAAGAGTGTTTCAAAACTGCTCCTTCAAAACGGTGGTTCAATTCTCTTAGTTGAGTACACACATCTCAAATAAGTTTCTGAGAATGCTTCTGCCTAGTTGTTACGGGAAGATATTTCCCTTTCCAACATGGGCCTGAAAGCGCTCCAAATGTCCACTTCCAGATACTACAAAAAGAGGGTTTCAAACCTGCTCTACCAAAGGGAATGTTCTACTCTGTGACTTGAATGCAAACATCCCAAAGAAGTTTCTGAGAATGCTTCTGTCTAGATTTTACTTGAAGACAATCCCGTTTCCCACGAAATCCTCAAAGCTATGCAAATATCCTCTTGCAGATTCTACAAAAAGAGTGTTTCAAAACTGCTCTATGAAAAGAAAGGTTCAACTCTGTCAGTAGAGGGCACACATCACAAACAAGTTTCTGAGAATGCTTCTGTCTAGTTGTTATGGGAAGATATTTCCTTTTCCAACATAGGCCTGAAAGCGCTCCAAATGTCCACTTCCAGATACTACAAAAGGAGTGATTCAAACCTGCTCTATGATAGGGAATGTTCAACTCTGTGTGCCTGAATACAAACATCACAAAGATGTTTCTCAGAACGCTGCAGTCTGAAATTTGTATGAATTCCCGCTTCCAACGAAATCCTCAAAACTAGCCAAATATCCACTTGCAGATTCCACAAAAAGAGCATTTCAAAACTGCTCTATCAAAAGAAAGGTTCAACTTTGTTAGTTGAGTAGATACAGCATAAACAAGTTTCTGAGAATGCTTCTGTCCAGTTTTTATGGGAAGATATTTCCTTTTTCACCTTAGCCCTGAAATCGCTCCAAAAGTCCAGTTCCAGATACTACAAAAGGGGTGTTTCAGGACTGCTCTATGAAAGGGAGTGTTCAACTTTTGACTTGAATGCAAACATCAGAAAGCAGTTTCTCAGAACGCTGCTGTGTGCTTTTTATATGTATTCCCGCTTCCAGCGAAATCCCCAAAGCTAGCCAAATATCCACTTGCAGATTCCAGAAAAAGAGAGTTTCAAAACTGCTCCTTCAAAACGGTGGTTCAATTCTCTTAGTTGAGTACACACATCTCAAATAAGTTTCTGAGAATGCTTCTGTCTGGTTGTTATGGGAAGATATTTCCTTTTCCAACATAGGCCTGAAAGCGCTCCAAATGTCCACTTCCAGATACTACAAAAGGAGTGATTCAAACCTGCTCTATGATAGGGAATGTTCAACTCTGTGTCCTGAATACAAACATCACAAAGATGTTTCTCAGAACGCTGCAGTCTGCAATTTGTATGAATTCCCGCTTCCAACGAAATCCTCAAAACTAGCCAAATATCCACTTGCAGATTCCACAAAAAGAGCGTTTCAAAACTTCTCTATGAAAAGAAAGGTTCTACTCCTTTAGTTGAGGACACACATCACGAGTAAGTTTCTGAGAATGCTTCTGTCTAGTTCTTATGGGAAGATATGTCCTTTTTCACCTTAGGCCGGAAAGCGCTCCAAATGTCCACTTACACACACTACAAAAAGAGTGTTTCAAACGTGCTCTGTGAAAGGGAATGTTCAATTCTGTGACTTGAATGCAATCATCACAAAGAACTTTCTGAGAATGCTGCTGTCTGCTTTTTATATGTAATCCCGTTTCCAACGAAATCCTCAAATCTAGCCCAATATCCACTTGCAGATTCCACAAAAAGAGTGTTTCAAAACTGTTCTGTCTAAAGAAAAGTTCAACTCTGTTAGTTGAGGACACACATCAGAAACTAGTTTCTGAGAATGCTTCTGTCTAGTTGTTATGGGAAGATATTTCCTTTTCCAACGTAGGCCTGAAAGCGCTCCAAATGTCCACTTCCATATACTAAAAAAAGAGTGTTTCAAACCTGCTCTACCAAAGGGAATGTTCTACTCTGTGACTTGAATGCAAACATCCCAAAGAAGTTTCTGAGAATGCTTCTGTCTAGATTTGATCTGAAGACAATCCCGTTTCCAACGAAATCCTCAAGGCTAGGCAAATATCCTCTTGCAGATTCCAGAAAAGGAGTGTTTCAAAACTGCTCCTTCAAAACGGTGGTTCAATTCTCTTAGTTGAGTACACACATCTCAAATAAGTTTCTGAGAATGCTTCTGCCTAGTTGTTACGGGAAGATATTTCCCTTTCCAACATAGGCCTGAAAGCGCTCCAAATGTCCACTTCCAGATACTACAAAAAGAGTGTTTCAAACCTGCTCTACCAAAGGGAATGTTCTACTCTGTGACTTGAATGCAAACATCCCAAAGAAGTTTCTGAGAATGCTTCTGTCTAGATTTTACCTGAAGACAATCTCGTTTCCCACGAAATCCCCAAAGCGATGCAAATATCCTCTTGTGGATTCTACAAAAAGAGTGTTTCAAAACTGCTCTATGAAAAGAAAGGTTCAACTCTGTCAGTAGAGGGCACACATCACAAACAAGTTTCTGAGAATGCTTGTGTCTAGTTGTTATGGGAAGATATTTCCTTTTTCAACATAGCCCTGAAAGCGCTCCAAATGTCCACTTCCAGATACTACAAAAGGAGTGATTCCAACCTGCTCTATGATAGGGAATGTTCATCTCTGTGTCCTGAATACAAACATCACAAAGATGTTTCTCAGAACGCTGCAGTCTGCAATTTGTATGAATTCCCGCTTCCAACGAAATCCTCAAAACTAGCCAAATATCCACTTGCAGATTCCACAAAAAGACCATTTCAAAACTGCTCTATCAAAAGAAAGGTTCAACTTTGTTAGTTGAGTAGATACAGCATAAACAAGTTTCTGAGAATGCTTCTGTCCAGTTTTTATGGGAAGATATTTCCTTTTTCACCTTAGCCCTGAAATCGCTCCAAAAGTCCAGTTCCAGATACTACAAAAGGGGTGTTTCAGGACTGCCCTATGAAAGGGAGTGTTCAACTTTTGACTTGAATGCAAACATCAGAAAGCAGTTTCTCAGAACGCTGCTGTGTGCTTTTTATATGTATTCCCGCTTCCAGCGAAATCCCCAAAGCTAGCCAAATATCCACTTGCAGATTCCAGAAAAAGAGAGTTTCAAAACTGCTCCTTCAAAACGGTGGTTCAATTCTCTTAGTTGAGTACACACATCTCAAATAAGTTTCTGAGAATGCTTGTGTCTAGTTGTTATGGGAAGATATTTCCTTTTTCAACATAGGCCTGAAAGCGCTCCAAATGTCCACTTCCAGATACTACAAAAGGAGTGATTCCAACATGCTCTATGATAGGGAATGTTCATCTCTGTGTCTTGAATACAAACATCACAAAGATGTTTCTCAGAACGCTGCAGTCTGCAATTTGTATGAATTCCCGCTTCCAACGAAATCCTCAAAACTAGCCAAATATCCACTTGGAGATTCCACAAAAAGAGCGTTTCAAAACTTCTCCATGAATAGAAAGGTTCCACTCCTTTAGTTGAGGACACACATCACGAGTAAGTTTCTGAGAATGCTTCTGTCTAGTTTTTATGGGAAGATATGTCCTTTTTCACCTTAGGCCGGAAAGCGCTCCAAATGTCCACTTACACACACTACAAAAAGAGTGTTTCAAACCTGCTCTGTGAAAGGGAATGTTCAATTCTGTGACTTGAATGCAATCATCACAAAGAACTTTCTGAGAATGCTGCTGTCTGCTTTTTATATGTAATCCCGTTTCCAACGAAATCCTCAAATCTAGCCAAATATCCACTTGCAGATTCCACAAAAAGAGTGTTTCAAAACTGTTCTGTCTAAAGAAAAGTTCAACTGTGTTAGTTGAGGACACACATCAGAAACTAGTTTCTGAGAATGCTTCTGTCTAGTTGTTATGGGAAGATATTTCCTTTTCCAACGTAGGCCTGAAAGCGCTCCAAATGTCCTTCCATATACTAAAAAAAGAGTGTTTCAAACCTGCTCTACCAAAGGGAATGTTCTACTCTGTGACTTGAATGCAAACATCCCAAAGAAGTTTCTGAGAGTGCTTCTGTCTAGATTTTATCTGAAGACAATCCCGTTTCCAACGAAATCCTCAAGGCTAGGCAAATATACTCTTGCAGATTCCAGAAAAAGAGTGTTTCAAAACTGCTCCTTCAAAACGGTGGTTCAATTCTCTTAGTTGAGTACACACATCTCAAATAAGTTTCTGAGAATGCTTCTGCCTAGTTGTTACGGGAAGATATTTCCCTTTCCAACATGGGCCTGAAAGCGCTCCAAATGTCCACTTTCAGATACTACAAAAAGAGTGTTTCAAACCTGCTCTACCAAAGGGAATGTTCTACTCTGTGACTTGAATGCAAACATCCCAAAGAAGTTTCTGAGAATGCTTCTGTCTAGATTTTACCTGAAGACAATCCCGTTTCCCACGAAATCCTCAAAGCTATGCAAATATCCTCTTGCAGATTCTACAAAAAGAGTGTTTCAAAACTGCTCTATGAAAAGAAAGGTTCAACTCTGTCAGTAGAGGGCACACATCACAAACAAGTTTCTGAGAATACTTGTGTCTACTTGTTATGGGAAGATATTTCCTTTTTCAACATAGGCCTGAAAGCGCTCCAAATGTCCACTTCCAGATACTACAAAAGGAGTGATTCCAACCTGCTCTATGATAGGGAATGTTCAACTCTGTGTCCTGAATACAAACATCACAAAGATGTTTCTCAGAACGCTGCAGTCTGCAATTTGTATGAATTCCCGCTTCCAACGAAATCCTCAAAACTAGCCAAATATCCACTTGCAGATTCCACAAAAAGACCATTTCAAAACTGCTCTATCAAAAGAAAGGTTCAACTTTGTTAGTTGAGTAGATACAGCATAAACAAGTTTCTGAGAATGCTTCTGTCCAGTTTTTATGGGAAGATATTTCCTTTTTCACCTTAGCCCTGAAATCGCTCCAAAAGTCCAGTTCCAGATACTACAAAAGGGGTGTTTCAAGACTGCTCTATGAAAGGGAGTGTTCAACTTTTGACTTGAATGCAAACATCAGAAAGCAGTTTCTCAGAACGCTGCTGTGTGCTTTTTATATGTATTCCCGCTTCCAGCGAAATCCCCAAAGCTAGCCAAATATCCACTTGCAGATTCCAGAAAAAGAGAGTTTCAAAACTGCTCCTTCAAAACGGTGGTTCAATTCTCTTAGTTGAGTACACACATCTCAAATAAGTTTCTGAGAATGCTTGTGTCTAGTTGTTATGGGAAGATATTTCCTTTTTCAACATAGGCCTGAAAGCGCTCCAAATGTCCACTTCCAGATACTACAAAAGGAGTGATTCCAACGTGCTCTATGATAGGGAATGTTCATCTCTGTGTCCTGAATACAAACATCACAAAGATGTTTCTCAGAACGCTGCAGTCTGCAATTTGTATGAATTCCCGCTTCCAACGAAATCCTCAACACTAGCCAAATATCCACTTGGAGATTCCACAAAAAGAGCGTTTCAAAACTTCTCTATGAATAGAAAGGTTCTACTCCTTTAGTTGAGGACACACATCACGAGTAAGTTTCTGAGAATGCTTCTGTCTAGTTTTTATGGGAAGATATTTCCTTTTTCACCTTAGGCCGGAAAGCACTCCAAATGTCCACTTACACACACTACAAAAAGCGTGTTTCAACCCTGCTCTGTGAAAGGGAATGTTCAATTCTGTGACTTGAATGCAATCATCACAAAGAACTTTCTGAGAATGCTGCTGTCTGCTTTTTATATGTAATCCCGTTTCCAACGAAATCCTCAAATCTAGCCCAATATCCACTTGCAGATTCCACAAAAAGAGTGTTTCAAAACTGTTCTGTCTAAAGAAAAGTTCAACTGTGTTAATTGAGGACACACATCAGAAACTAGTTTCTGAGAATGCTTCTGTCTAGTTGTTATGGGAAGATATTTCCTTTTCCAACGTAGGCCTGAAAGCGCTCCAAATGTCCACTTCCATATACTAAAAAAAGAGTGTTTCAAACCTGCTCTACCAAAGGGAATGTTCTACTCTGTGACTTGAATGCAAACATCCCAAAGAAGTTTCTGAGAATGCTTCTGTCTAGATTGGATCTGAAGACAATCCCGTTTCCAACGAAATCCTCAAATCTATGCAAATATCCTCTTGCAGATTCCAGAAAAAGAGTGTTTCAAAACTGCTCCTTCAAAACGGTGGTTCAATTCTCTTAGTTGAGTACACACATCTCAAATAAGTTTCTGAGAATGCTTCTGCCTAGTTGTTACGGGAAGATATTTCCCTTTCCAACATAGGCCTGAAAGCGCTCCAAATGTCCACTTCCAGATACTACAAAAAGAGTGTTTCAAACCTGCTCCTTCAAAACGGTGGTTCAATTCTCTTAGTTCAGTACACACATCTCAAATAAGTTTCTGAGAATGCTTTTGCCTAGTTGTTACGGGAAGATATTTCCCTTTCCAACATAGGCCTGAAAGCGCTCCAAATGTCCACTTCCAGATACTACAAAAAGAGTGTTTCAAACCTGCTCTACCAAAGGGAATGTTCTACTCTGTGACTTGAATGCAAACATCCCGAAGAATTTTCTGAGAATGCTTCTGTCTAGATTTTACCTGAAGACAATCCCGTTTCCCACGAAATCCTCAAAGCTATGCAAATATCCTCTTGCAGATTCTACAAAAAGAGTGTTTCGAAACTGCTCTATGAAAAGAAAGGTTCAACTCTGTCAGTAGAGGGCACACATCACAAACAAGTTTCTGAGAATGCTTGTGTCTACTTGTTATGGGAAGATATTTCCTTTTTCAACATAGGCCTGAAAGCGCTCCAAATGTCCACTTCCAGATACTACAAAAGGAGTGATTCCAACCTGCTCTATGATAGGGAATGTTCAACTCTGTGTCCTGAATACAAACATCACAAAGATGTTTCTCAGAACGCTGCAGTCTGCAATTTGTATGAATTCCCGCTTCCAATGAAATCCTCAAAACTAGCCAAATATCCACTTGCAGATTCCACAAAAAGAGCATTTCAAAACTGCTCTATCAAAAGAAAGGTTCAACTTTGTTAGTTGAGTAGATACAGCATAAACAAGTTTCTGAGAATGCTTAGCAGTCTGCAATTTGTATGAATTCCCGCTTCCAACGAAATCCTCAAAACTAGCCAAATATCCACTTGCAGATTCCACAAAAAGAGCGTTTCAAAACTTCTCTATGAAAAGAAAGTTTCTACTCCTTTAGTTGAGGACACACATCACGAGTAACTTTCTGAGAATGCTGCTGTGTGCTTTTTATATGTATTCCCGCTTCCAGCGAAATCCCCAATGCTAGCCAAATATCCAATTGCAGATTCCAGAAAAAGAGTGTTTCAAAACTGCTCCTTCAAAACGGTGGTTCAATTCTCTTAGTTGAGTACACACATCTCAAATAAGTTTCTGAGAATGCTTCTGTCTATTTGTTATGGGAAGATATTTCCTTTTCCAACATAGGCCTGAAAGCGCTCCAAATGTCCACTTCCAGATACTACAAAAGGAGTGATTCCCACCTGCTCTATGATAGGGAATGTTCAACTCTGTGTCCTGAATACAAACATCACAAAGATGTTTCTCAGAACGCTTCTGTCTAGATTTTACCTGAAGACAATCCCGTTTCCCACGAAATCCTCAAAGCTATGCAAATATCCTCTTGCAGATTCTACAAAAAGAGTGTTTCAAAACTGCTCTATGAAAAGAAAGGTTCAACTCTGTCAGTAGAGGGCACACATCACAAACAAGTTTCTGAGAATGCTTGTGTCTAGTTGTTATGGGAAGATATTTCCTTTTTCAACATAGGCCTGAAAGCGCTCCAAATGTCCACTTCCAGATACTACAAAAGGAGTGATTCCAACCTGCTCTATGATAGGGAATGTTCAACTCTCTGTCCTGAATACAAACATCACAAAGATGTTTCTCAGAATCCTGCAGTCTGCAATTTGTATGAATTCCCGCTTCCAACGAAATCCTCAAAACTAGCCAAATATCCACTTGCAGATTCCACAAAAAGAGCATTTCAAAACTGCTCTATCAAAAGAAAGGTTCAACTTTGTTAGTTGAGTAGATACAGCATAAACAAGTTTCTGAGAATGCTTCTGTCCAGTTTTTATGGGAAGATATTTCCTTTTTCACCTTAGCCCTGAAAGCGCTCCAAAAGTCCAGTTCCAGATACTACAAAAGGAGTGTTTCAGGACTGCTCTATGAAAGGGAGTGTTCAACTTTTGACTTGAATGCAAACATCAGAAAGCAGTTTCTCAGAACGCTGCTGTGTGCTTTTTATATGTATTCCCGCCTCCAGCGAAATCCCCAAAGCTAGCCAAATATCCACTTGCAGATTCCAGAAAAAGAGTGTTTCAAAACTGCTCCTTCAAAACGGTGGTTCAATTCTCTTAGTTGAGTACACACATCTCAAATAAGTTTCTGAGAATGCTTCTGTCTAGTTGTTATGGGAAGATATTTCCTTTTCCAACATAGGCCTGAAAGCGCTCCAAATGTCCAATTCCAGATACTACAAAAGGAGTGATTCCAACCTGCTCTATGATAGGGAATGTTCAACTCTGTGTCCTGAATACAAACATCACAAAGATGTTTCTCAGAACGCTGCAGTCTGCAATTTGTATGAATTCCCGCTTCCAACGAAATCCTCCAAACTAGCCAAATATCCACTTGCAGATTCCACAAAAAGAGCGTTTCAAAACTTCTCTATGAAAAGAAAGGTTCTACTCCTTTAGTTGAGGACACACATCACGAGTAAGTTTCTGAGAATGCTTCTGTCTAGTTTTTATGGGAAGATATGTCCTTTTTCACCTTAGGCCGGAAAGCGCTCCAAATGTCCACTTACACACACTACAAAAAGAGTGTTTCAAACCTGCTCTGTGAAAGGGAATGTTCAATTCTGTGACTTGAATGCAATCATCACAAAGAACTTTCTGAGAATGCTGCTGTCTGCTTTTTATATGTAATCCCGTTTCCAACGAAATCCTCAAATCTAGCCAAATAGCCACTTGCAGATTCCACAAAAAGAGTGTTTCAAAACTGTTCTGTCTAAAGAAATGTTCAACTGTGTTAGTTGAGGACACACATCAGAAACTAGTTTCTGAGAATGCTTCTGTCTAATTGTTATGGGAAGATATTTCCTTTTCCAACGTAGGCCTGAAAGCGCTCCAAATGTCCACTTCCATATACTAAAAAAAGAGTGTTTCAAACCTGCTCTACCAAAGGGAATGTTCTACTCTGTGATTTGAATGCAAACATCCCAAAGAAGTTTCTGAGAATGCTTCTGTCTAGATTTGATCTGAAGACAATCCCGTTTCCAACGAAATCCTCAAAGCTAGGCAAATATCCTCTTGCAGATTCCAGAAAAAGAGTGTTTCAAAACTGCTCCTTCAAAACGGTGGTTCAATTCTCTTAGTTGAGTACACACATCTCAAATAAGTTTCTGAGAATGCTTCTGCCTAGTTGTTACGGGAAGATATTTCCCTTTCCAACATAGGCCTGAAAGCGCTCCAAATGTCCACTTCCAGATACTATAAAAAGAGTGTTTCAAACCTGCTCTACCAAAGGGAATATTCTACTCTGTGACTTGAATGCAAACATCCCAAAGAAGTTTCTGAGAATGCTTCTGTCTAGATTTTACCTGAAGACAATCCCGTTTCCCACGAAATCCTCAAAGCTATGCAAATATCCTCTTGCAGATTCTACAAAAAGAGTGTTTCAAAACTGCTCTATGAAAAGAAAGGTTCAACTCTGTCAGTAGAGGGCACACATCACAAACAAGTTTCTGAGAATGCTTGTGTCTAGTTGTTATGGGAAGATATTTCCTTTTTCAACATAGGCCTGAAAGCGCTCCAAATGTCCACTTCCAGATACTACAAAAGGAGTGATTCCAACCTGCTCTATGATAGGGAATGTTCATCTCTGTGTCCTGAATACAAACATCACAAAGATGTTTCTCAGAACGCTGCAGTCTGCAATTTGTATGAATTCCCGCTTCCAACGAAATCCTCAAAACTAGCCAAATATCCACTTGCAGATTCCACAAAAAGACCATTTCAAAACTGCTCTATCAAAAGAAAGGTTCAACTTTGTTAGTTGAGTAGATACAGCATAAACAAGTTTCTGAGAATGCTTCTGTCCAGTTTTTATGGGAAGATATTTCCTTTTTCACCTTAGCCCTGAAATCGCTCCAAAAGTCCAGTTCCAGATACTACAAAAGGGGTGTTTCAAGACTGCTCTATGAAAGGGAGTGTTCAACTTTTGACTTGAATGCAAACATCAGAAAGCAGTTTCTCAGAACGCTGCTGTGTGCTTTTTATATGTATTCCCGCTTCCAGCGAAATCCCCAAAGCTAGCCAAATAGCCACTTGCAGATTCCAGAAAAAGAGTGTTTCAAAACTGCTCCTTTAAAACGGTGGTTCAATTCTCTTAGTTGAGTACACACATCTCAAATAAGTTTCTGAGAATGCTTCTGTCTACTTGTTATGGGAAGATATTTCCTTTTCCAACATAGGCCTGAAAGCGCTCCAAATGTCCACTTCCAGATACTACAAAAGGAGTGATTCAAACCTGCTCTATGATAGGGAATGTTCAACTCTGTGTCCTGAATACAAACATCACAAAGATGTTTCTCAGAACGCTGCAGTCTGCAATTTGTATGAATTCCCGCTTCCAACGAAATCCTCAAAACTAGCCAAATATCCACTTGGAGATTCCACAAAAAGAGCGTTTCAAAACTTCTCTATGAATAGAAAGGTTCTACTCCTTTAGTTGAGGACACACATCACTAGTAAGTTTCTGAGAATGCTTCTGTCTAGTTTTTATGGGAAGATATGTCCTTTTTCACCTTAGGCCGGAAAGCGCTCCAAATGTCCACTTACACACACTACAAAAAGGGTGTTTCAAACCTGCTCTGTGAAAGGGAATGTTCAATTCTGTGACTTGAATGCAATCATCACAAAGAACTTTCTGAGAATGCTGCTGACTGCTTTTTATATGTAATCCCGTTTCCAACGAAATCCACAAATCTAGCCCAATATCCACTTGCAGATTCCACAAAAAGAGTGTTTCAAAACTGTTCTGTCTAAAGAAAAGTTCAACTGTGTTAGTTGAGGACACACATCAGAAACTAGTTTCTGAGAATGCTTCTGTCTAGTTGCTATGGGAAGATATTTCCTTTTCCAACGTAGGCCTGAAAGCGCTCCAAATGTCCTTCCATATACTAAAAAAAGAGTGTTTCAAACCTGCTCTACCAAAGGGAATGTTCTACTCTGTGACTTGAATGCAAACATCCCAAAGAAGTTTCTGAGAATGCTTCTGTCTAGATTTTATCTGAAGACAATCCCGTTTCCAACGAAATCCTCAAGGCTAGGCAAATATACTCTAGCAGATTCCAGAAAAAGAGGGTTTCAAAACTGCTCCTTCAAAACGGTGGTTCAATTCTCTTAGTTGAGTACACACATCTCAAATAAGTTTCTGAGAATGCTTCTGCCTAGTTGTTACGGGAAGATATTTCCCTTTCCAACATGGGCCTGAAAGCGCTCCAAATGTCCACTTCCAGATACTACAAAAAGAGTGTTTCAAACCTGCTCTACCAAAGGGAATGTTCTACTCTGTGACTTGAATGCAAACATCCCAAAGAAGTTTCTGAGAATGCTTCTGTCTAGATTTTACCTGAAGACAATCCCGTTTCCCACGAAATCCTCAAAGCTATGCAAATATCCTCTTGCAGATTCTACAAAAAGAGTGTTTCAAAACTGCTCTATGAAAAGAAAGGTTCAACTCTGTCAGTACAGGGTACACATCACAAACAAGTTTCTGAGAATGCTTGTGTCTAGTTGTTATGGGAAGATATTTCCTTTTTCAACATAGGCCTGAAAGCGCTCCAAATGTCCACTTCCAGATACTACAAAAGGAGTGATTCCAACCTGCTCTGATAGGGAATGTTCATCTCTGTGTCCTGAATACAAACATCACAAAGATGTTTCTCATAACGCTGCAGTCTGCAATTTGTATGAATTCCCGCTTCCAACGAAATCCTCAAAACTAGCCAAATATCCACTTGGAGATTCCACAAAAAGAGCGTTTGAAAACTTCTCTATGAATAGAAAGGTTCTACTCCTTTAGTTGAGGACACACATCACGAGTAAGTTTCTGAGAATGCTTCTGTCTAGTTTTTATGGGAAGATATGTCCTTTTTCACCTTAGGCCGGAAAGCGCTCCAAATGTCCACTTACACACACTACAAAAAGAGTGTTTCAAACCTGCTCTGTGAAAGGGAATGTTCAATTCTGTGACTTGAATGTAATCATCACAAAGAACTTTCTGAGAATGCTGCTGACTGCTTTTTATATGTAATCCCGTTTCCAACGAAATCCTCAAATCTAGCCCAATATCCACTTGCAGATTCCACAAAAAGAGTGTTTCAAAACTGTTCTGTCTAAAGAAATGTACAACTGTGTTAGTTGAGGACACACATCAGAAACTAGTTTCTGAGAATGCTTCTGTCAAGTTGTTATGGGAAGATATTTCCTTTTCAAACCTAGGCCTGAAAGCGCTCCAATTGTCCACTTCCATATACTAAAAAAAGAGTGTTTCAAACCTGCTCTACCAAAGGGAATGTTCTACTCTGTGACTTGAGTGCAAACATCCCAAAGAAGTTTCTGAGAATGCTTCTGTCTAGATTTTCTCTGAAGACAATCCCGTTTCCAACGAAATCCTCAAGGCTAGGCAAATATACTCTTGCAGATTCCAGAAAAAGAGTGTTTCAAAACTGCTCCTTCAAAACGGTGGTTCAATTCTCTTAGTTGAGTACACACATCTCAAATAAGTTTCTGAGAATGCTTCTGCCTAGTTGTTAAGGGAAGATATTTCCCTTTCCAACATGGGCCTGAAAGCGCTCCAAATGTCCACTTCCAGATACTACAAAAAGAGTGTTTGAAACCAGCTCTACCAAAGGGAATGTTCTACTCTGTGACTTGAATGCAAACATCCCAAAGAAGTTTCTGAGAATGCTTCTGTCTAGATTTTACCTGAAGACAATCCCGTTTCCCACGAAATCCTCAAAGCTATGCAAATATCCTCTTGCAGATTCTACAAAAAGAGTGTTTCAAAACTGCTCTATGAAAAGAAAGGTTCAACTCTGTCAGTAGAGGGCACACATCACAAACAAGTTTCTGAGAATGCTTGTGTCTAGTTGTTATGGGAAGATATTTCCTTTTTCAACATAGGCCTGAAAGCGCTCCAAATGTCCACTTCCAGATACTACAAAAGGAGTGATTCCAACCTGCTCTATGATAGGGAATGTTCAACTCTCTGTCCTGAATACAAACATCACAAAGATGTTTCTCAGAACGCTGCAGTCTGCAATTTGTATGAATTCCCGCTTCCAACGAAATCCTCAAAACTAGCCAAATATCCACTTGCAGATTCCACAAAAAGAGCATTTCAAAACTGCTCTATCAAAAGAAAGGTTCAACTTTGTTAGTTGAGTAGATACAGCATAAACAAGTTTCTGAGAATGCTTCTGTCCAGTTTTTATGGGAAGATATTTCCTTTTTCACCTTAGCCCTGAAAGCGCTCCAAAAGTCCAGTTCCAGATACTACAAAAGGAGTGTTTCAGGACTGCACTATGAAAGGGAGTGTTCAACTTTTGACTTGAATGCAAACATCAGAAAGCAGTTTCTCAGAACGCTGCTGTGGGCTTTTTATATGTATTCCCGCTTCCAGCGAAATCCCCAAAGCTAGCCAAATATCCACTTGCAGATTCCAGAAAAAGAGTGTTTCAAAACTGCTCCTTCAAAACGGTGGTTCAATTCTCTTAGTTGAGTACACACATCTCAAATAAGTTTCTGAGAATGCTTCTGTCTAGTTGTTATGGGAAGATATTTCCTTTTCCAACATAGGCTTGAAAGCGCTCCAAATGTCCACTTCCAGATACTACAAAAGGAGTGATTCAAACCTGCTCTATGATAGGGAATGTTCAACTCTGTGTCCTGAATACAAACATCACAAAGATGTTTCTCAGAAAGCTGCAGTCTGCAATTTGTATGAATTCCCGCTTCCAACGAAATCCTCAAAACTAGCCAAATATCCACTTGCAGATTCCACAAAAAGAGCGTTTCAAAACTTCTCTATGAAAAGAAAGGTTCTACTCCTTTAGTTGAGGACACACATCACGAGTAAGTTTCTGAGAATGCTTCTGTCTAGTTTTTATGGGAAGATATTTCCTTTTTCACCTTAGGCCGGAAAGTGCTCCAAATGTCCACTTACACACCCTACAAAAAGAGTGTTTCAAACCTGCTCTGTGAAAGGGAATGTTCAATTCTGTGACTTGAATGCAATCATCACAAAGAACTTTCTGAGAATGCTGCTGTCTGCTTTTTATATGTAATCCCGTTTCCAACGAAATCCTCAAATCTAGCCAAATAGCCACTTGCAGATTCCACAAAAAGAGTGTTTCAAAACTGTTCTGTCTAAAGAAATGTTCAACTGTGTTAGTTGAGGACACACATCAGAAACTAGTTTCTGAGAATGCTTTCTGTCTAGTTGTTATGGGAAGATATTTCCTTTTCCAACGTAGGCCTGAAAGCGCTCCAAATGTCCACTTCCATATACTAAAAAAAGAGTGTTTCAAACCTGCTCTACCAAAGGGAATGTTCTACTCTGTGACTTGAATGCAAACATCCCAAAGAAGTTTCTGAGAATGCTTCTGTCTAGATTTTCTCTGAAGACAATCCCGTTTCCAACGAAATCCTCAAGGCTAGGCAAATATACTCTTGCAGATTCCAGAAAAAGAGTGTTTCAAAACTGCTCCTTCAAAACGGTGGTTCAATTCTCTTAGTTGAGTACACACATCTCAAATAAGTTTCTGAGAATGCTTCTGCCTAGTTGTTACGGGAAGATATTTCCCTTTCCAACATGGGCCTGAAAGTGCTCCAAATGTCCACTTCCAGATACTACAAAAAGAGTGTTTCAAACCTGCTCTACCAAAGGGAATGTTCTACTCTGTGACTTGAATGCAAACATCCCAAAAAAGTTTCTGAGAATGCTTCTGTCTAGATTTTACCTGAAGACAATCCCGTTTCCCACGAAATCCTCAAAGCTATGCAAATATCCTCTTGCAGATTCTACAAAAAGAGTGTTTCAAAACTGCTCTATGAAAAGAAAGGTTCAACTCTGTCAGTAGAGGGCACACATCACAAACAAGTTTCTGAGAATGCTTGTGTCTAGTTGTTATGGGAAGATATTTCCTTTTTCAACATAGGCCTGAAAGCGCTCCAAATGTCCACTTCCAGATACTACAAAAGGAGTGATTCCAACCTGCTCTATGATAGGGAATGTTCAATTCTCTGTCCTGAATACAAACATCACAAAGATGTTTCTCAGAACGCTGCAGTCTGCAATTTGTATGAATTCCCGCTTCCAACGAAATCCTCAAAACTAGCCAAATATCCACTTGCAGATTCCACAAAAAGAGCATTTCAAAACTGCTCTATCAAAAGAAAGGTTCAACTTTGTTAGTTGAGTAGATACAGCATAAACAAGTTTCTGAGAATGCTTCTGTCCAGTTTTTATGGGAAGATATTTCCTTTTTCACCTTAGCCCTGAAAGCGCTCCAAAAGCCCAGTTCCAGATACTACAAAAGGAGTGTTTCAGGACTGCTCTATGAAATGGAGTGTTCAACTTTTGACTTGAATGCAAACATCAGAAAGCAGTTTCTCAGAACGCTGCTGTGTGCTTTTTATATGTATTCCCGCTTCCAGCGAAATCCCCAAAGCTAGCCAAATATCCACTTGCAGATTCCAGAAAAAGAGTGTTTCAAAACTGCTCCTTCAAAACGGTGGTTCAATTCTCTTAGTTGAGTACACACATCTCAAATAAGTTTCTGAGAATGCTTCTGTCTAGTTGTTATGGGAAGATATTTCCTTTTCCAACATAGGCCTGAAAGCGCTCCAAATGTCCACTTCCAGATACTACAAAAGGAGTGATTCCAACCTGCTCTATGATAGGGAATGTTCAACTCTGTGTCGTGAATACAAACATCACAAAGATGTTTCTCAGAACGCTGCAGTCTGCAATTTGTATGAATTCCCGCTTCCAACGAAATCCTCAAAACTAGCCAAATATCCACTTGCAGATTCCACAAAAAGAGCGTTTCAAAACTTCTCTATGAAAAGAAAGGTTCTACTCCTTTAGTTGAGGACACACATCACGAGTAAGTTTCTGAGAATGCTTCTGTCTAGTTTTTATGGGAAGATATTTCCTTTTTCACCTTAGGCCGGAAAGCGCTCCAAATGTCCAATTACACACACTACAAAAAGAGTGTTTCAAACCTGCTCTGTGAAAGGGAATGTTCAATTCTGTGACTTGAATGCAATCATCACAAAGAACTTTCTGAGAATGCTGCTGTCTGCTTTTTATATGTAATCCCGTTTCCAACGAAATCCTCAAATCTAGCCCAATATCCACTTGCAGATTCCACAAAAAGAGTGTTTCAAAACTGTTCTGTATAAAGAAATGTACAACTGTGTTAGTTGAGGACACACATCAGAAACTAGTTTCTGAGAATCCTTCTGTCTAGTTGTTATGGGAAGATATTTCCTTTTCCAACGTAGGCCTGAAAGCGCTCCAAATGTCCACTTCCATATACTAAAAAAAGAGTGTTTCAAACCTGCTCTACCAAAGGGAATGTTCTACTCTGTGACTTGAATGCAAACATCCCAAAGAAGTTTCTGAGAATGCTTCTGTCCAGATTTGATCTGAAGACAATCCCGTTTCCAACGAAATCCTCAAGGCTAGGCAAATATCCTCTTGCAGATTCCAGAAAAAGAGTGTTTCAAAACTGCTCCTTCAAAACGGTGGTTCAATTCTCTTAGTTGAGTACACACATCTCAAATAAGTTTCTGAGAATGCTTCTGCCTAGTTGTTACGGGAAGATATTTCCCTTTCCAACATAGGCCTGAAAGCGCTCCAAATGTCCACTTCCAGATACTACAAAAAGAGTGTTTCAAACCTGCTCTACCAAAGGGAATGTTCTACTCTGTGACTTGAATGCAAACATCCCAAAGAAGTTTCTGAGAATGCTTCTGTCTAGATTTTACCTGAAGACAATCCCGTTTCCCACGAAATCCTCAAAGCTATGCAAATATCCTCTTGCAGATTCTACAAAAAGAGTGTTTCAAAACTGCTCTATGAAAAGAAAGGTTCAACTCTGTCAGTAGAGGGCACACATCACAAACAAGTTTCTGAGAATGCTTGTGTCTAGTTGTTATGGGAAGATATTTCCTTTTTCAACATAGGCCTGAAAGCGCTCCAAATGTCCCAGATACTACAAAAGGAGTGATTCCAACCTGCTCTATGATAGGGAATGTTCATCTCTGTGTCCTGAATACAAACATCACAAAGATGTTTCTCAGAACGCTGCAGTCTGCAATTTGTATGAATTCCCGCTTCCAACGAAATCCTCCAAACTAGCCAAATATCCACTTGCAGATTCCACAAAAAGAGCGTTTCAAAACTTATCTATGAAAACAAAGGTTCTACTCCTTTAGTTGAGGACACACATCACGAGTAAGTTTCTGAGAATGCTTCTGTCTAGTTTTTATGGGAAGATATTTCCTTTTTCACCTTAGGCCGGAAAGTGCTCCAAATGTCCACTTACACACACTACAAAAAGAGTGTTTCAAACCTCCTCTGTGAAAGGGAATGTTCAATTCTGTGATTTGAATGCAATCATCACAAAGAACTTTCTGAGAATGCTGCTGTCTGCTTTTTATATGTAATCCCGTTTCCAACGAAATCCTCAAATCTAGCCAAATATCCACTTGTAGATTCCACAAAAAGAGTGTTTCAAAACTGTTCTGTCTAAAGAAATGTTCAACTGTGTTAGTTGAGGACACACATCAGAAACTAGTTTCTGAGAATGCTTCTGTCTAGTTGTTATGGGAAGATATTTCCTTTTCCAACGTAGGCCTGAAAGCGCTCCAAATGTCCACTTCCATATACTAAAAAAAGAGTGTTTCAAACCTGCTCTACCAAAGGGAATGTTCTACTCTGTGACTTGAATGCAAACATCCCAAAGAAGTTTCTGAGAATGCTTCTGTCTAGATTTGATCTGAAGACAATCCCGTTTCCAAAGAAATCCTCAAGGCTAGGCAAATATCCTCTTGCAGATTCCAGAAAAAGAGTGTTTCAAAACTGCTCCTTCAAAACGGTGGTTCAATTCTCTTAGTTGAGTACACACATCTCAAATAAGTTTCTGAGAATGCTTCTGCCTAGTTGTTACGGGAAGATATTACCCTTTCCAACATGGGCCTGAAAGCGCTCCAAATGTCCACTTCCAGATACTACAAAAAGAGTGTTTCAAACCTGCTCTACCAAAGGGAATGTTCTACTCTGTGACTTGAAGGCAAACATCCCAAAGAAGTTTCTGAGAATGCTTCTCTCTAGATTTTACCTGAAGACAATCCCGTTTCCCACGAAATCCTCAAAGCTATGCAAATATCCTCTTGCAGATTCTACAAAAAGAGTGTTTCAAAACTGCTCTATGAAAAGAAAGGTTCAACTCTGTCAGTAGAGGGCACACATCACAAACAAGTTTCTGAGAACGCTTGTGTCTAGTTGATATGGGAAGATATTTCCTTTTTCAACATAGGCCTGAAAGCGCTCCAAATGTCCACTTCCAGATACTACAAAAGGAGTGATTCCAACATGCTCTATGATAGGGAATGTTCATCTCTGTGTCTTGAATACAAACATCACAAAGATGTTTCTCAGAACGCTGCAGTCTGCAATTTGTATGAATTCCCGCTTCCAACGAAATCCTCAAAATTAACCAAATATCCACTTGGAGATTCCACAAAAAGAGCGTTTCAAAACTTCTCTATGAATAGAAAGGTTCTACTCCTTTAGTTGAGGACACACATCACGAGTAAGTTTCTGAGAATGCTTCTGTCTAGTTTTTATGGGAAGATATGTCCTTTTTCACCTTAGGCCGGAAAGCGCTCCAAATGTCCACTTACACACACTACAAAAAGAGTGTTTCAAACCTGCTCTGTGAAAGGGAATGTTCAATTCTGTGACTTGAATGCAATCATCACAAAGAACTTTCTGAGAATGCTGCTGTCTGCTTTTTATATGTAATCCCGTTTCCAACGAAATCCTCAAATCTAGCCCAATATGCACTTGCAGATTCCACAAAAAGAGTGTTTCAAAACTGTTCTGTCTAAAGAAAAGTTCAACTGTGTTAGTTGAGGACACACATCAGAAACTAGTTTCTGAGAATGCTTTCTGTCTAGTTGTTATGGGAAGATATTTCCTTTTCCAACGTAGGCCTGAAAGCGCTCCAAATGTCCACTTCCATATACTAAAAAAAGAGTGTTTCAAACCTGCTCTACCAAAGGGAATGTTCTACTCTGTGACTTGAATGCAAACATCCCAAAGAAGTTTCTGAGAATGCTTCTGTCTAGATTTGATCTGAAGACAATCCCGTTTCCAACGAAATCCTCAAGGCTAGGCAAATATCCTCTTGCAGATTCCAGAAAAAGAGTGTTTCAAAACTGCTCCTTCAAAACGGTGGTTCAATTCTCTTAGTTGAGTACACACATCTCAAATAAGTTTCTGAGAATGCTTTCTGCCTAGTTGTTACGGGAAGATATTTCCCTTTCCAACATGGGCCTGAAAGCGCTCCAAATGTCCACTTCCAAATACTACAAAAAGAGTGTTTCAAACCTACTCTACCAAAGGGAATGTTCTACTCTGTGACTTGAATGCAAACATCCCAAAGAAGTTTCTGAGAATGCTTCTGTCTAGATTTTACCTGAAGACAATCCCGTTTCCCACGAAATCCTCAAAGCTATGCAAATATCCTCTTGCAGATTCTACAAAAAGAGTGTTTCAAAACTGCTCTATGAAAAGAAAGGTTCAACTCTGTCAGTAGAGGGCACACATCACAAACAAGTTTCTGAGAATGCTTGTGTCTAGTTGTTATGGGAAGATATTTCCTTTTTCAACATAGGCCAGAAAGCGCTCCAAATGTCCACTTCCAGATACTACAAAAGGAGTGATTCCAACCTGCTCTATGATAGGGAATGTTCAACTCTCTGTCCTGAATACAAACATCACAAAGATGTTTCTCAGAACGCTGCAGTCTGCAATTTGTATGAATTCCCGCTTCCAACGAAATCCTCAAAACTAGCCAAATATCCACTTGCAGATTCCACAAAAAGAGCATTTCAAAACTGCTCTATCAAAAGAAAGGTTCAACTTTGTTAGTTGAGTAGATACAGCATAAACAAGTTTCTGAGAATGCTTCTGTCCAGTTTTTATGGGAAGATATTTCCTTTTTCACCTTAGCCCTGAAAGCGCTCCAAAAGTCCAGTTCCAGATACTACAAAAGGAGTGTTTCAGGACTGCTCTATGAAAGGGAGTGTTCAACTTTTGACTTGAATGCAAACATCAGAAAGCAGTTTCTCAGAACGCTGCTGTGTGCTTTTTATTTGTATTCCCGCCTCCAGCGAAATCCCCAAAGCTAGCCAAATATCCACTTGCAGATTCCAGAAAAAGAGTGTTTCAAAACTGCTCCTTCAAAACGGTGGTTCAATTCTCTTAGTTGAGTACACACATCTCAAATAAGTTTCTGAGAATGCTTCTGTCTAGTTGTTATGGGAAGATATTTCCTTTTCCAACATAGGCCTGAAAGCACTCCAAATGTCCACTTCCAGATACTACAAAAGGAGTGATTCCAACCTGCTCTATGATAGGGAATGTTCAACTCTGTGTCTTGAATACAAACATCACAAAGATGTTTCTCAGAACGCTGCAGTCTGCAATTTGTATGAATTCCCGCTTCCAACGAAATCCTCCAAACTAGCCAAATATCCACTTGCAGATTCCACAAAAAGAGCGTTTCAAAACTTCTCTATGAAAAGAAAGGTTCTACTCCTTTAGTTGAGGACACACATCACGAGTAAGTTTCTGAGAATGCTTCTGTCTAGTTTTTATGGGAAGATATTTCCTTTTTCACCTTAGGCCGGTAAGTGCTCCAAATGTCCACTTACACACACTACAAAAAGAGTGTTTCAAACCTGCTCTGTGAAAGGGAATGTTCAATTCTGTGACTTGAATGCAATCATCACAAAGAACTTTCTGAGAATGCTGCTGACTGCTTTTTATATGTAATCCCGTTTCCAACGAAATCCTCAAATCTAGCCAAATAGCCACTTGCAGATTCCACAAAAAGAGTGTTTCAAAACTGTTCTGTCTAAAGAAATGTTCAACTGTGTTAGTTGAGGACACACATCAGAAACTAGTTTCTGAGAATGCTTCTGTCTAGTTGTTATGGGAAGATATTTCCTTTTCCAACGTAGGCCTGAAAGCGCTCCAAATGTCCACTTCCAGATACTACAAAAAGAGTGTTTCAAACCTGCTCTACCAAAGGGAATGTTCTACTCTGTGACTTGAATGCAAGCATCCCAAAGAAGTTTCTGAGAATGCTTCTGTCTAGATTTTCTCTGAAGACAATCCCGTTTCCAACGAAATCCTCAAGGCTAGGCAAATATACTCTTGCAGATTCCAGAAAAAGAGTGTTTCAAAACTGCTCCTTCAAAACGGTGGTTCAATTCTCTTAGTTGAGTACACACATCTCAAATAAGTTTCTGAGAATGCTTCTGCCTAGTTGTTACGGGAAGATATTTCCCTTTCCAACATAGGCCTGAAAGCGCTCCAAATGTCCACTTCCAGATACTACAAAAAGAGTGTTTCAAACCTGCTCCTTCAAAACGGTGGTTCAATTCTCTTAGTTCAGTACACACATCTCAAATAAGTTTCTGAGAATGCTTCTGCCTAGTTGTTACGGGAAGATATTTCCCTTTCCAACATAGGCCTGAAAGCGCTCCAAATGTCCACTTCCAGATACTACAAAAAGAGTGTTTCAAACCTGCTCTACCAAAGGGAATGTTCTACTCTGTGACTTGAATGCAAACATCCCGAAGAATTTTCTGAGAATGCTTCTGTCTAGATTTTACCTGAAGACAATCCCGTTTCCCACGAAATCCTCAAAGCTATGCAAATATCCTCTTGCAGATTCTACAAAAAGAGTGTTTCGAAACTGCTCTATGAAAAGAAAGGTTCAACTGTGTCAGTAGAGGGCACACATCACAAACAAGTTTCTGAGAATGCTTCTGTCTAGTTGTTATGGGAAGATATTTCCTTTTTCAACATAGGCCTGAAAGCGCTCCAAATGTCCACTTCCAGATAGTACAAAAGGAGTGATTCCAACCTGCTCTATGATAGGGAATGTTCAACTCTGTGTCCTGAATACAAACATCACAAAGATGTTTCTCAGAACGCTGCAGTCTGCAATTTGTATGAATTCCCGCTTCCAACGAAATCCTCCAAACTAGCCAAATATCCACTTGCAGATTCCACAAAAAGAGCGTTTCAAAACTTCTCTATGAAAAGAAAGGTTCTACTCCTTTAGTTGAGGACACACATCACGAGTAAGTTTCTGAGAATGCTTCTGTCTAGTTTTTATGGGAAGATATTTCGTTTTTCACCTTAGGCCGGAAAGCGCTCCAAATGTCCACTTACACACACTACAAAAAGAGGGTTTCAAACCTGCTCTGTGAAAGGGAATGTTCAATTCTGTGATTTGAATGCAATCATCACAAAGAACTTTCTGAGAATGCTGCTGTCTGCTTTTTATATGTAATCCCGTTTCCAACGAAATCCTCAAATCTAGCCAAATATCCACTTGCAGATTCCACAAAAAGAGTGTTTCAAAACTGTTCTGTCTAAAGAAAAGTTCAACTGTGTTAGTTGAGGACACACATCAGAAACTAGTTTCTGAGAATGCTTCTGTCTAGTTTTTATGGGAAGATATTTCCTTTTTCACCTTAGGCCGGAAAGCGCTCCAAATGTCCACTTACACACACTACAAAAAGAGTGTTTCAAACCTGCTCTACCAAAGGGAATGTTCTACTCTGTGACTTGAATGCAAACATCCCAAAGAAGTTTCTGAGAATGCTTCTGTCTAGATTTTATCTGAAGACAATCCCGTTTCCAACGAAATCCTCAAGGCTAGGCAAATATACTCTTTCAGATTCCAGAAAAAGAGTGTTTCAAAACTTCTCCTTCAAAACGGTGGTTCAATTCTCTTAGTTGAGTACACACATCTCAAATAAGTTTCTGAGAATGCTTCTGCCTAGTTGTTACGGGAAGATATTTCCCTTTCCAACATGGGCCTGAAAGCGCTCCAAATGTCCACTTCCAGATACTACAAAAAGAGTGTTTCAAACCTGCTCTACCAAAGGGAATGTTCTACTCTGTGACTTGAATGCAAACATCCCAAAGAAGTTTCTGAGAATGCTTCTGTCTAGATTTTACCTGAAGACTATCCCGTTTCCCACGTAATCCTCAAAGCTATGCAAATATCCTCTTGCAGATTCTACAAAAAGAGTGTTTCAAAACTGCTCTATGAAAAGAAAGGTTCAACTCTGTCAGTAGAGGGCACACATCACAAACAAGTTTCTGAGAATGCTTCTGCATAGTTGTTACGGGAAGATATTTCCCTTTCCAAAATAGGCCTGAAAGCGCTCCAAATGTCCACTTCCAGATACTACAAAAGGAGTGATTCCAACCTGCTCTATGATAGGGAATGTTCAACTCTGTGTCCTGAATACAAACATCACAAAGATGTTTCTCAGAACGCTGCAGTCTGCAATTTGTATGAATTCCCGCTTCCAACGAAATCCTCAAAACTAGCCAAATATCCACTTGCAGATTCCACAAAAAGACCATTTCAAAACTGCTCTATCAAAAGAAAGGTTCAACTTTGTTAGTTGAGTAGATACAGCATAAACAAGTTTCTGAGAATGCTTCTGTCCAGTTTTTATGGGAAGATATTTCCTTTTTCACCTTAGCCCTGAAAGCGCTCCAAATTTCCAGTTCCAGATACTACAAAAGGGGTGTTTCAAGACTGCTCTATGAAAGGGAGTGTTCAACTTTTGACTTGAATGCAAACATCAGAAAGCAGTTTCTCAGAACGCTGCTGTGTGCTTTTTATATGTATTCCCGCTTCCAGCGAAATCCCCAAAGCTAGCCAAATATCCACTTGCAGATTCCAGAAAAAGAGTGTTTCAAAACTGCTCCTTCAAAACGGTGGTTCAATTCTCTTAGTTGAGTACACACATCTCAAATAAGTTTCTGAGAATGCTTGTGTCTAGTTGTTATGGGAAGATATTTCCTTTTTCAACATAGGCCTGAAAGCGCTCCAAATGTCCACTTCCAGATACTACAAAAGGAGTGATTCCAACCTGCTCTATGATAGGGAATGTTCATCTCTGTGTCCTGAATACAAACATCACAAAGATGTTTCTCAGAACGCTGCAGTCTGCAATTTGTATGAATTCCCGCTTCCAACGAAATCCTCAAAACTAGCCAAATATCCACTTGCAGATTCCACAAAAAGAGCGTTTCAAAACTTCTCTATGAAAAGAAAGGTTCTACTCCTTTAGTTGAGGACACACATCACGAGTAAGTTTCTGAGAATGCTTCTGTCTAGTTTTTATGGGAAGATATTTCCTTTTTCACCTTAGGCCGGAAAGTGCTCCAAATGTCCACTTACACACACTACAAAAAGAGTGTTTCAAACCTGCTCTGTGAAAGGGAATGTTCAATTCTGTGACTTGAATGCAATCATCACAAAGAAGTTTCTGAGAATGCTGCTGTCTGCTTTTTATATGTAATCCCGTTTCCAACGAAATCCTCAAATCTAGCCAAATATCCACTTGCAGATTCCACAAAAAGAGTGTTTCAAAACTGTTCTGTCTAAAGAAATGTTCAACTGTGTTAGTTGAGGACACACATCAGAAACTAGTTTCTGAGAATGCTTCTGTCTAGTTGTTATGGGAAGATATTTCCTTTTCCAACGTAGGCCTGAAAGCGCTCCAAATGTCCACTTACACACACTACTAAAAGAGTGTTTCAAACCTGCTCTACCAAAGGGAATGTTCTACTCTGTGACTTGAATGCAAACATCCCAAAGAAGTTTCTGAGAATGCTTCTGTCTAGATTTTACCTGAAGACAATCCCGTTTCCCACGAAATCCTCAAAGCTATGCAAATATCCTCTTGCAGATTCTACAAAAAGAGTGTTTCGAAACTGCTCTATGAAAAGAAAGGTTCAACTGTGTCAGTAGAGGGCACACATCACAAACAAGTTTCTGAGAATGCTTCTGTCTAGTTGTTATGGGAAGATATTTCCTTTTTCAACATAGGCCTGAAAGCGCTCCAAATGTCCACTTCCAGATAGTACAAAAGGAGTGATTCCAACCTGCTCTGTGATAGGGAATGTTCAACTCTGTGTCCTGAATACAAACATCACAAAGATGTTTCTCAGAACGCTGCAGTCTGCAATTTGTATGAATTCCCGCTTCCAACGAAATCCTCAAAACTAGCCAAATATCCACTTGCAGATTCCACAAAAAGACCATTTCAAAACTGCTCTATCAAAAGAAAGGTTCAACTTTGTTAGTTGAGTAGATACAGCATAAACAAGTTTCTGAGAATGCTTCTGTCCAGTTTTTATGGGAAGATATTTCCTTTTTCACCTTAGCCCTGAAATCGCTCCAAAAGTCCAGTTCCAGATACTACAAAAGGGGTGTTTCAGGACTGCTCTATGAAAGGGAGTGTTCAACTTTTGACTTGAATGCAAACATCAGAAAGCAGTTTCTCAGAACGCTGCTGTGTGCTTTTTATATGTATTCCCGCTTCCAGCGAAATCCCCAAAGCTAGCCAAATATCCACTTGCAGATTCCAGAAAAAGAGAGTTTCAAAACTGCTCCTTCAAAACGGTGGTTCAATTCTCTTAGTTGAGTACACACATCTCAAATAAGTTTCTGAGAATGCTGCTGTGTGCTTTTTATATGTATTCCCGTTTCCAGCGAAATCCCCAAAGCTAGCCAAATATCCACTTGTAGATTCCAGAAAAAGAGTGTTTCAAAACTGCTCCTTCAAAACGGTGGTTCAATTCTCTTAGTTGAGTACACACATCTCAAATAGGTTTCTGAGAATGCTTCTGTCTAGCTGTTATGGGAAGATATTTCCTTTTCCAACATAGGCCTGAAAGCGCTACAAATGTCCACTTCCAGATACGACAAAAGCAGTGATTCCAACCTGCTCTATGATAGGGAATGTTCAACTCTGTGTCCTGAATACAAACATCACAAAGATGTTTCTCAGAAGGCTGCAGTCTGCAATTTGTATGAATTCCCCATTCCAACGAAATCCTCAACACTAGCCAAATATCCACTTGCAGATTCCACAAAAAGAGCGTTTCAAAACTTCTCTATGAAAAGAACGGTTCTACTCCTTTAGTTGAGGACACACATCACGAGTAAGTTTCTGTGAATGCTTCTGTCTAGTTTTTATGGGAAGATTATTTCCTTTTTCACCTTAGGCCGGTAAGTGCTCCAAATGTCCACTTACACACACTACAAAAAGAGTGTTTCAAACCTGCTCTGTGAAAGGGAATGTTCAATTCTGTGACTTGAATGCAATCATCACAAAGAACTTTCTGAGAATGCTGCTGGCTGCTTTTTATATGTAATCCCGTTTCCAACGAAATCCTCAAATCTAGCAAAATAGCCACTTGCAGATTCCACAAAAAGAGTGTTTCAAAACTGTTCTGTCTAAAGAAATGTTCAACTGTGTTAGTTGAGGACACACATCAGAAACTAGTTTCTGAGAATGCTTCTGTCTAGTTGTTATGGGAAGATATTTCCTTTTCCAACGTAGGCCTGAAAGCGCTCCAAATGTCCACTTCCAGATACTACAAAAAGAGTGTTTCAAACCTGCTCTACCAAAGGGAATGTTCTACTCTGTGACTTGAATGCAAGCATCCCAAAGAAGTTTCTGAGAATGCTTCTGTCTAGATTTTCTCTGAAGACAATCCCGTTTCCAACGAAATCCTCAAGGCTAGGCAAATATACTCTTGCAGATTCCAGAAAAAGAGTGTTTCGAAACTGCTCCTTCAAAACGGTGGTTCAATTCTCTTAGTTGAGTACACACATCTCAAATAAGTTTCTGAGAATGCTTCTGCCTAGTTGTTACGGGAAGATATTTCCCTTTCCAACATGGACCTGAAAGCGCTCCAAATGTCCACTTCCAGATACTACAAAAAGAGTGTTTCAAACCTGCTCTACCAAAGGGAATGTTCTACTCTGTGACTTGAATGCAAACATCCCAAAGAAGTTTCTGAGAATGCTTCTGTCTAGATTTTACCTGAAGACAATCCCGTTTCCCACGAAATCCTCAAAGCTATGCAAATATCCTCTTGCAGATCCTACAAAAAGAGTGTTTCAAAACTGCTCTATGAAAAGAAAGGTTCAACTCTGTCAGTAGAGGGCACACATCACAGACAAGTTTCTGAGAATGCTTGTGTCTAGTTGTTATGGGAAGATATTTCCTTTTTCAACATAGGCCTGAAAGCGCTCCAAATGTCCACTTCCAGATACTACAAAAGGAGTGATTCCAACATGCTCTATGATAGGGAATGTTCATCTCTGTGTCTTGAATACAAACATCACAAAGATGTTTCTCAGAACGCTGCAGTCTGCAATTTGTATGAATTCCCGCTTCCAACGAAATCCTCAAAACTAGCCAAATATCCACTTGCAGATTCCACAAAAAGACCATTTCAAAACTGCTCTATCAAAAGAAAGGTTCAACTTTGTTAGTTGAGTAGATACAGCATAAACAAGTTTCTGAGAATGCTTCTGTCCAGTTTTTATGGGAAGATATTTCCTTTTTCACCTTAGCCCTGAAATCGCTCCAAAAGTCCAGTTCCAGATACTACAAAAGGGGTGTTTCAAGACTGCTCTATGAAAGGGAGTGTTCAACTTTTGACTTGAATGCAAACATCAGAAAGCAGTTTCTCAGAACGCTGCTGTGTGCTTTTTATATGTATTCCCGCTTCCAGCGAAATCCCCAAAGCTAGCCAAATATCCACTTGCAGATTCCAGAAAAAGAGAGTTTCAAAACTGCTCCTTCAAAACGGTGGTTCAATTCTCTTAGTTGAGTACACACATCTCAAATAAGTTTCTGAGAATGCTGCAGTCTGCAATTTGTATGAATTCCGGCTTCCAACGAAAATCCTCAAAACTAGCCAAATATCCACTTGCAGATTCCACAAAAAGAGCATTTCAAAACTGCTCTATCAAAAGAAAGGTTCAACTTTGTTAGTTGAGTAGATACAGCATAAACAAGTTTCTGAGAATGCTTCTGTCCAGTTTTTATGGGAAGATATTTCCTTTTTCACCTTAGCCCTGAAAGCGCTCCAAATGTCCAGTTCCCGATACTACAAAAGGGGTGTTTCAAGACTGCTCTATGAAAGGGAGTGTTCAACTTTTGACTTGAATGCAAACATCAGAAAGCAGTTTCTCAGAACGCTGCTGTGTGCTTTTTATATGTATTCCCGCTTCCAGCGAAATCCCCAAAGCTAGCCAAATATCCACTTGCAGATTCCAGAAAAAGAGTGTTTCAAAACTGCTCCTTCAAAACGGTGGTTCAATTCTCTTAGTTGAGTACACACATCTCAAATAAGTTTCTGAGAATGCTTCTGTCTAGTTGTTATGGGAAGATATTTCCTTTTCCAACATAGGCCTGAAAGCGCTCCAAATGTCCACTTCCAGATACTACAAAAGGAGTGATTCAAACCTGCTCTATGATAGGGAATGTTCAACTCTGTGTCCTGAATACAAACATCACAAAGATGTTTCTCAGAACGCTTGCAGTCTGCAATTTGTATGAATTCCCGCTTCCAACGAAATCCTCCAAACTAGCCAAATATCCACTTGCAGATTCCACAAAAAGAGCGTTTCAAAACTTCTCTATGAAAACAAAGGTTCTACTCCTTTAGTTGAGGACACACATCACGAGTAAGTTTCTGAGAATGCTTCTGTCTAGTTTTTATGGGAAGATATTTCCTTTTTCACCTTAGGCCGGAAAGCGCTCCAAATGTCCAATTACACACACTACAAAAAGAGTGTTTCAAACCTGCTCTGTGAAAGGGAATGTTCAATTCTGTGACTTGAATGCAATCATCACAAAGAACTTTCTGAGAATGCTGCTGACTGTTTTTTATATGTAATCCCGTTTCCAACGAAATCCTCAAATCTAGCCCAATATCCACTTGCAGATTCCACAAAAAGAGTGTTTCAAAACTGTTCTGTCTAAAGAAAAGTTCAACTGTGTTAGTTGAGGACACACATCAGAAACTAGTTTCTGAGAATGCTTCTGTCTAGTTGTTATGGGAAGATATTTCCTTTTCCAACGTAGGCCTGAAAGCGCTCCAAATGTCCACTTCCATATACTAAAAAAAGAGTGTTTCAAACCTGCTCTACCAAAGGGAATGTTCTACTCTGTGACTTGAATGCAAACATCCCAAAGAAGTTTCTGAGAATGCTTCTGTCTAGATTTGATCTGAAGACAATCCCGTTTCCAACGAAATCCTCAAGGCTAGGCAAATATACTCTTGCAGATTCCAGAAAAAGAGTGTTTCAAAACTGCTCCTTCAAAACGGTGGTTCAATTCTCTTAGTTGAGTACACACATCTCAAATAAGTTTCTGAGAATGCTTCTGCCTAGTTGTTACGGGAAGATATTTCCCTTTCCAACATGGGCCTGATAGCGCTCCAAAAGTCCACTTCCAGATACCACAAAAAGAGGGTTTCAAACCTGCTCTACCAAAGGGAATGTTCTACTCTGTGACTTGAATGCAAACATCCCAAAGATGTTTCTGAGAATGCTTCTGTCTAGATTTTACCTGAAGACAATCCCGTTTCCCACGAAATCCTCAAAGCTATGCAAATATCCTCTTGCAGATTCTACAAAAAGAGTGTTTCAAAACTGCTCTATGAAAAGAAAGGTTCAACTCTGTCAGTAGAGGGCACACATCACAAACAAGTTTCTGAGAATGCTTGTGTCTAGTTGTTATGGGAAGATATTTCCTTTTTCAACATAGGCCTGAAAGCGCTCCAAATGTCCACTTCCAGATACTACAAAAGGAGTGATTCCAACCTGCTCTATGATAGGGAATGTTCATCTCTGTGTCTTGAATACAAACATCACAAAGATGTTTCTCAGAACGCTGCAGTCTGCAATTTGTATGAATTCCCGCTTCCAACGAAATCCTCAAAACTAGCCAAATATCCACTTGCAGATTCCACAAAAAGACCATTTCAAAACTGCTCTATCAAAAGAAAGGTTCAACTTTGTTAGTTGAGTAGATACAGCATAAACAAGTTTCTGAGAATGCTTCTGTCCAGTTTTTATGGGAAGATATTTCCTTTTTCACCTTAGCCCTGAAATCGCTCCAAAAGTCCAGTTCCAGATACTACAAAAGGGGTGTTTCAAGACTGCTCTATGAAAGGGAGTGTTCAACTTTTGACTTGAATGCAAACATCAGAAAGCAGTTTCTCAGAACGCTGCTCTGTGCTTTTTATATGTATTCCCGCTTCCAGCGAAATCCCCAAAGCTAGCCAAATATCCACTTGCAGATTCCAGAAAAAGAGTGTTTCAAAACTGCTCCTTCAAAACGGTGGTTCAATTCTCTTAGTTGAGTACACACATCTCAAATAAGTTTCTGAGAATGCTTCTGTCTAGTTGTTATGGGAAGATATTTCCTTTTTCAACATAGGCCTGAAAGCGCTCCAAATCTCCACTTCCAGATACTACAAAAGGAGTGATTCAAACCTGCTCTATGATAGGGAATGTTCAACTCTGTGTCCTGAATACAAACATCACAAAGATGTTTGTCAGAACGCTTGCAGTCTGCAATTTGTATGAATTCCCGCTTCCAACGAAATCCTCAAAACTAGCCAAATATCCACTTGCAGATTCCACAAAAAGAGCGTTTCAAAACTTCTCTATGAAAAGAAAGGTTCTACTCCTTTAGTTGAGGACACACATCACGAGTAAGTTTCTGAGAATGCTTCTGTCTAGTTTTTATGGGAAGATATTTCCTTTTTCACCTTAGGCCGGTAAGTGCTCCAAATGTCCACTTACACACACTACAAAAAGAGTGTTTCAAACCTGCTCTGTGAAAGGGAATGTTCAATTCTGTGACTTGAATGCAATCATCACAAAGAACTTTCTGAGAATGCTGCTGTCTGCTTTTTATATGTAATCCCGTTTCCAACGAAATCCTCAAATCTAGCCCAATATCCACTTGCAGATTCCACAAAAAGAGTGTTTCAAAACTGTTCTGTCTAAAGAAATGTACAACTGTGTTAGTTGAGGACACACATCAGAAACTAGTTTCTGAGAATGCTTCTGTCTAGTTGTTATGGGAAGATATTTCCTTTTCCAACGTAGGCCTGAAAGCGCTCCAAATGTCCACTTCCATATACTAAAAAAAGAGTGTTTCAAACCTGCTCTACCAAAGGGAATGTTCTACTCTGTGACTTGAATGCAAACATCCCAAAGAAGTTTCTGAGAATGCTTCTGTCTAGATTTGATCTGAAGACAATCCCGTTTCCAACGAAATCCTCAAGGCTAGGCAAATATCCTCTTGCAGATTCCAGAAAAAGAGTGTTTCAAAACTGCTCCTTCAAAACGGTGGTTCAATTCTCTTAGTTGAGTACACACATCTCAAATAAGTTTATGAGAATGCTTCTGCCTAGTTGTTACGGGAAGATATTTCCCTTTCCAACATAGGCCTGAAAGCGCTCCAAATGTCCACTTCCAGATACTACAAAAAGAGTGTTTCAAACCTGCTCTACCAAAGGGAATGTTCTGCTCTGTGACTTGAATGCAAACATCCCAAAGAAGTTTCTGAGAATGCTTCTGTCTAGATTTTACCTGAAGACAATCCCGTTTCCCACGAAATCCTCAAAGCTATGCAAATATCCTCTTGCAGATTCTACAAAAAGAGTGTTTCAAAACTGCTCTATGAAAAGAAAGGTTCAACTCTGTCAGTAGAGGGCACACATCACAAACAAGTTTCTGAGAATGCTTGTGTCTAGTTGTTATGGGAAGATATTTCCTTTTTCAACATAGGCCTGAAAGCGCTCCAAATGTCCACTTCCAGATACTACAAAAGGAGTGATTCCAACCTGCTCTATGATAGGGAATGTTCAACTCTCTGTCCTGAATAAAAACATCACAAAGATGTTTCTCAGAACGCTGCAGTCTGCAATTTGTATGAATTCCCGCTTCCAACGAAATCCTCAAAACTAGCCAAATATCCACTTGCAGATTCCACAAAAAGAGCATTTCAAAACTGCTCTATCAAAAGAAAGGTTCAACTTTGTTAGTTGAGTAGATACAGCATAAACAAGTTTCTGAGAATGCTTCTGTCCAGTTTTTATGGGAAGATATTTCCTTTTTCACCTTAGCCCTGAAAGCGATCCAAAAGTCCAGTTCCAGATACTACAAAAGGAGTGTTTCAGGACTGCTCTATGAAAGGGAGTGTTCAACTTTTGACTTGAATGCAAACATCAGAAAGCAGTTTCTCAGAACGCTTCTCTCTAGATTTTATATGAAGATATTCCCGTTTCCAACGAAATCCACAAAGCTATCAAAATATCCACTTGCAGATTCTACAAAAAGAGTGTTTCAAAACTGCTCTATCAAAAGAAAGGTTCTACCCCTTTAGTTGAGGACACACATCACGAGTAAGTTTCTGAGAATGCTTCTGTCTAGTTTTTATGGGAAGATATTTCCTTTTTCACCTGAGGCCGGAAAGCGCTCCAAATGTCCACTTACAGACACTACAAAAAGAGTGTTTCAAACCTGGTCTATGAAAGGGAATGTTCAATTCTGTGACTGGAATGCAATCATCACAAAGAAGTTTCTGAGAATGCTGCAGTCTGCAATTTGTATGAATTCCCGCTTCCAACGAAATCCTCAAAACTAGCCAAATATCCACTTGCAGATTCCACAAAAAGAGCGTTTCAAAACTTCTCTATGAAAAGAAAGGTTCTACTCCTTTAGTTGAGGACACACATCACGAGTAAGTTTCTGAGAATGCTTCTGTCTAGTTTTTATGGGAAGATTATTTCCTTTTTCACCTTAGGCCGGTAAGTGCTCCAAATGTCCACTTACACACACTACAAAAAGAGTGTTTCAAACCTGCTCTGTGAAAGGGAATGTTCAATTACTGTGACTTGAATGCAATCATCACAAAGAACTTTCTGAGAATGCTGCTGACTGCTTTTTATATGTAATCCCGTTTCCAACGAAATCCTCAAATCTAGCCAAATAGCCACTTGCAGATTCCACAAAAAGAGTGTTTCAAAACTGTTCTGTCTAAAGAAATGTTCAACTGTGTTAGTTGAGGACACACATCAGAAACTAGTTTCTGAGAATGCTTCTGTCTAGTTGTTATGGGAAGATATTTCCTTTTCCAACGTAGGCCTGAAAGCGCTCCAAATGTCCACTTCCAGATACTACAAAAAGAGTGTTTCAAACCTGCTCTACCAAAGGGAATGTTCTACTCTGTGACTTGAATGCAAGCATCCCAAAGAAGTTTCTGAGAATGCTTCTGTCTAGATTTTCTCTGAAGACAATCCCGTTTCCAACGAAATCCTCAAGGCTAGGCAAATATACTCTTGCAGATTCCAGAAAAAGAGTGTTTCAAAACTGCTCCTTCAAAACGGTGGTTCAATTCTCTTAGTTGAGTACACACATCTCAAATAAGTTTCTGAGAATGCTTCTGCCTAGTTGTTACGGGAAGATATTTCCCTTTCCAACATGGGCCTGAAAGCGCTCCAAATGTCCACTTCCAGATACTACAAAAAGAGTGTTTCAAACCTGCTCTACCAAAGGGAATGTTCTACTCTGTGACTTGAATGCAAACATCCCAAAGAAGTTTCTGAGAATGCTTCTGTCTAGATTTTACCTGAAGACAATCCCGTTTCCCACGAAATCCTCAAAGCTATGCAAATATCCTCTTGCGGATTCTACAAAAAGAGTGTTTCAAAACTGCTCTATGAAAAGAAAGGTTCAACTCTGTCAGTAGAGGGCACACATCACAAACAAGTTTCTGAGAATGCTTGTGTCTAGTTGTTATGGGAAGATATTTCCTTTTTCAACATAGGCCTGAAAGCGCTCCAAATGTCCACTTCCAGATACTACAAAAGGAGTGATTCCAACCTGCTCCATGATAGGGAATGTTCATCTCTGTGTCCTGAATACAAACATCACAAAGATGTTTCTCAGAACGCTGCAGTCTGCAATTTGTATGAATTCCCGCTTCCAACGAAATCCTCAAAACTAGCCAAATATCCACTTGCAGATTCCACAAAAAGACCATTTCAAAACTGCTCTATCAAAAGAAAGGTTCAACTTTGTTAGTTGAGTAGATACAGCATAAACAAGTTTCTGAGAATGCTTCTGTCCAGTTTTTATGGGAAGATATTTCCTTTTTCACCTTAGCCCTAAAATCGCTCCAAAAGTCCAGTTCCAGATACTACAAAAGGGGTGTTTCAAGACTGCTCTATGAAAGGGAGTGTTCAACTTTTGACTTGAATGCAAACATCAGAAAGCAGTTTCTCAGAACGCTGCTTTGTGCTTTTTATATGTATTCCCGCTTCCAGCGAAATCCCCAAAGCTAGCCAAATATCCACTTGCAGATTCCAGAAAAAGAGTGTTTCAAAACTGCTCCTTCAAAACGGTGGTTCAATTCTCTTAGTTGAGTAGACACATCTCAAATAAGTTTCTGAGAATGCTTGTGTCTAGTTGTTATGGGAAGATATTTCCTTTCTCAACATAGGCCTGAAAGCGCTCCAAATGTCCACTTCCAGATACTACAAAAGGAGTGATTCCAACATGCTCTATGATAGGGAATGTTCATCTCTGTGTCTTGAATACAAACATCACAAAGATGTTTCTCAGAACGCTGCAGTCTGCAATTTGTATGAATTCCTGCTTCCAACGAAATCCTCAAAACTAGCCAAATATCCACTTGGAGATTCCACAAAAAGAGCATTTCAAAACTTCTCTATGAATAGAAAGGTTCTACTCCTTTAGTTGAGGACACACATCACGAGTAAGTTTCTGAGGATGCTTCTGTCTAGTTTTTATGGGAAGATATTTCCTTGTTCACCTTAGGCCAGAAAGCGCTCCAAATGTCCACTTACACACACTACAAAAAGAGTGTTTCAAACCTGCTCTGTGAAAGGGAATGTTCAATTCTGTGACTTGAATGCAATCATCACAAAGAACTTTCTGAGAATGCTGCTGACTGCTTTTTATATGTAATCCCGTTTCCAACGAGATCCTCAAATCTAGCCAAATATCCACTTGCAGATTCCACAAAAAGAGTGTTTCAAAACTCTTCTGTCTAAAGAAAAGTTCAACTGTGTTAGTTGAGGACACACATCAGAAACTAGTTTCTGAGAATGCTTCTGTCTAGTTGTTATGGGAAGATATTTCCTTTTCCAACGTAGGCCTGAAAGCGCTCCAAATGTCCACTTCCATATACTAAAAAAAGAGTGTTTCAAACCTGCTCTACCAAAGGGAATGTTCTACTCTGTGACTTGAATACAAACATCCCAAAGAAGTTTCTGAGAATGCTTCTGTCTAGATTTGATCTGAAGACAATCCCGTTTCCAACGAAATCCTCAAAGCTAGGCAAATATCCTCTAGCAGATTCCAGAAAAAGAGTGTTTCAAAACTGCTCCTTCAAAACGGTGGTTCAATTCTCTTAGTTGAGTACACACATCTCAAATAAGTTTCAGAGAATGCTTCTGCCTAGTTGTTACGGGAAGATATTTCCCTTTCCAAAATAGGCCTGAAAGTGCTCCAAATGTCCACTTCCAGATACTGCAAAAGGAGTGATTCCAACCTGCTCTATGATAGGGAATGTTCAACTCTGTGTCCTGAATACAAACATCACAAAGATGTTTCTCAGAACGCTGCAGTCTGCAATTTGTATGAATTCCAGCTTCCAACGAAATCCTCAAAACTAGCCAAATATCCACTTGCAGATTCCACAAAAAGAGCATTTCAAAACTGCTCTATCAAAAGAAAGGTTCAACTTTGTTAGTAGAGTAGATACAGCATAAACAAGTTTCTGAGAATGCTTCTGTCCAGTTTTTATGGGAAGATATTTCCTTTTTCACCTTAGCCCTGAAAGCGCTCCAAATGTCCACTTCCAGATACTACAAAAGGGGTGTTTCAAGACTGCTCTATGAAAGGGAGTGTTCAACTTTTGACTTGAATGCAAACATCAGAAAGCAGTTTCTCAGAACGCTGCTGTGTGCTTTTTATATGTATTCCCGCTTCCAGCGAAATCCCCAAAGCTAGCCAAATATCCACTTGCAGATTCCAGAAAAAGAGTGTTTCAAAACTGCTCCTTCAAAACGGTGGTTCAATTCTCTTAGTTGAGTACACACATCTCAAATAAGTTTCTGAGAATGCTTCTGTCTAGTTGTTATGGGAAGATATTTCCTTTTCCAACATAGGCCTGAAAGCGCTCCAAATGTCCACTTCCAGATACTACAAAAGGAGTGATTCAAACCTGCTCTATGATAGGGAATGTTCAACTCTGTGTCCTGAATACAAACATCACAAAGATGTTTCTCAGAACGCTGCAGTCTGCAATTTGTATGAATTCCCGCTTCCAACGAAATCCTCAAAACTAGCCAAATATCCACTTGCAGATTCCACAAAAAGAGCGTTTCAAAACTTCTCTATGAAAAGAAAGGTTCTACTCCTTTAGTTGAGGACACACATCACGAGTAAGTTTCTGAGAGTGCTTCTGTCTAGTTTTTATGGGAAGATATTTCCTTTTTCACCTTAGGCCGGAAAGTGCTCCAAATGTCCACTTACACACACTACAAAAAGAGTGTTTCAAACCTGCTCTGTGAAAGGGAATGTTCAATTCTGTGACTTGAATGCAATCATCACAAAGAACTTTCTGAGAATGCTGCTGTCTGCTTTTTATATGTAATCCCGTTTCCAACGAAATCCTCAAATCTAGCCAAATAGCCACTTGCAGATTCCACAAAAAGAGTGTTTCAAAACTGTTCTGTCTAAAGAAATGTGCAACTGTGTTAGTTGAGGACACACATCAGAAACTAGTTTCTGAGAATGCTTCTGTCTAGTTGTTATGGGAAGATATTTCCTTTTCCAACGTAGGCCTGAAAGCGCTCCAAATGTCCACTTCCATATACTAAAAAAAGAGTGTTTCAAACCTGCTCTACCAAAGGGAATGTTCTACTCTGTGACTTGAATGCAAACATCCCAAAGAAGTTTCTGAGAATGCTTCTGTCTAGATTTTATCTGAAGACAATCCCGTTTCCAACGAAATCATCAAGGCTAGGCAAATATACTCTTGCAGATTCCAGAAAAAGAGTGTTTCAAAACTGGTCCTTCAAAACGGTGGTTCAATTCTCTTAGTTGAGTACACACATCTCAAATAAGTTTCTGAGAATGCTTCTGCCTAGTTGTTACGGGAAGATATTTCCCTTTCCAACATGGGCCTGAAAGCGCTCCAAATGTCCACTTCCAGATACTACAAAAAGAGTGTTTCAAACCTGCTCTACCAAAGGGAATGTTCTACTCTGTGACTTGAATGCAAACATCCCAAAGAAGTTTCTGAGAATGCTTCTGTCTAGATTTTACCTGAAGACAATCCCGTTTCCCACGAAATCCTCAAAGCTATGCAAATATCCTCTTGCAGATTCTACAAAAAGAGTGTTTCAAAACTGCTCTATGAAAAGAAAGGTTCAACTCTGTCAGTAGAGGGCACACATCACAAACAAGTTTCTGAGAATGCTTGTGTCTAGTTGTTATGGGAAGATATTTCCTTTTTCAACATAGGCCTGAAAGCGCTCCAAATGTCCACTTCCAGATACTACAAAAGGAGTGATTCCAACCTGCTCTATGATAGGGAATGTTCATCTCTGTGTCCTGAATACAAACATCACAAAGATGTTTCTCAGAACGCTGCAGTCTGCAATTTGTATGAATTCCCGCTTCCAACGAAATCCTCAAACCTAGCCAAATATCCACTTGCAGATTCCACAAAAAGAGCATTTCAAAACTGCTCTATCAAAAGAAAGGTTCAACTTTGTTAGTTGAGTAGATACAGCATAAACAAGTTTCTGAGAATGCTTCTGTCCAGTTTTTATGGGAAGATATTTCCTTTTTCACCTTAGCCCTGAAAGCGCTCCAAATGTCCAGTTCCAGATACTACAAAAGGGGTGTTTCAAGACTGCTCTATGAAAGGGAGTGTTCAACTTTTGACTTGAATGCAAACATCAGAAAGCAGTTTCTCAGAACGCTGCTGTGTGCTTTTTATATGTATTCCCGCTTCCAGCGAAATACCCAAAGCTAGCCAAATATCCACTTGCAGATTCCAGAAAAAGAGTGTTTCAAAACTGCTCCTTCAAAACGGTGGTTCAATTCTCTTAGTTGAGTACACACATCTCAAATAAGTTTCTGAGAATGCTTCTGTCTAGTTGTTATGGGAAGATATTTCCTTTTCCAACATAGGCCTGAAAGCGCTCCAAATGTCCACTTCCAGATACTACAAAAGGAGTGATTCAAACCTGCTCTATGATAGGGAATGTTCAACTCTGTGTCCTGAATACAAACATCACAACGATGTTTCTCAGAACGCTTCTCTCTAGATTTTATATGAAGATATTCCCGTTTCCAACGAAATCCACAAAGCTATCGAAATATCCACTTGCAGATTCTACAAAAAGAGTGTTTCAAAACTGCTCTATCAAAAGAAAGGTTCTACCCCTTTAGTTGAGGACACACATCACGAGTAAGTTTCTGAGAATGCTTCTGTCTAGTTTTTATGGGAAGATATTTCCTTTTTCACCTGAGGCCGGAAAGCGCTCCAAATGTCCACTTCCAGATACTACAAAAGGAGTGATTCAAACCTGCTCTATGATAGGGAACGTTCAACTCTGTGTCCTGAATACAAACATCACAAAGATGTTTCTCAGAACGCTGCAGTCTGCAATTTGTATGAATTCCCGCTTCCAACGAAATCCTCAAAACTAACCAAATATCCACTTGGAGATTCCACAAAAAGAGCGTTTCAAAACTTCTCTATGAATAGAAAGGTTCTACTCCTTTAGTTGAGGACACACATCACGAGTAAGTTTCTGAGAATGCTTCTGTCTAGTTATTATGGGAAGATATGTCCTTTTTCACCTTAGGCCGGAAAGCGCTCCAAATGTCCACTTACACACACTACAAAAAGAGTGTTTCAAACCTGCTCTATGAAAGGGAATGTTCAATTCTGTGACTTGAATGCAATCATCACAAAGAACTTTCTGAGAATGCTGCTGACTGCTTTTTATATGTAATCCCGTTTCCAACGAAATCCTCAAATCTAGCCCAATATCCACTTGCAGATTCCACAAAAAGAGTGTTTCAAAACTGTTCTGTCTAAAGAAATGTACAACTGTGTTAGTTGAGGACACACATCAGAAACTAGTTTCTGAGAATGCTTCTGTCTAGTTGTTATGGGAAGATATTTCCTTTTCCAACGTAGGCCTGAAAGCGCTCCAAATGTCCACTTCCATATACTAAAAAAAGAGTGTTTCAAACCTGCTCTACCAAAGGGAATGTTCTACTCTGTGACTTGAATGCAAACATCCCAAAGAAGTTTCTGAGAATGCTTCTATCTAGATTTTATCTGAAGACAATCCCGTTTCCAACGAAATCCTCAAGGCTAGGCAAATATACTCTTGCAGATTCCAGAAAAAGAGGGTTTCAAAACTGCTCCTTCAAAACGGTGGTTCAATTCTCTTAGTTGAGTACACACATCTCAAATAAGTTTCTGAGAATGCTTCTGCCTAGTTGTTACGGGAAGATATTTCCCTTTCCAACATGGGCCTGAAAGCGCTCCAAATGTCCACTTCCAGATACTACAAAAAGAGGGTTTCAAACCTGCTCTACCAAAGGGAATGTTCTACTCTGTGACTTGAATGCAAACATCCCAAAGAAGTTTCTGAGAATGCTTCTGTCTAGATTTTACCTGAAGACAATCCCGTTTCCCACGAAATCCTCAAAGCTATGCAAATATCCTCTTGCAGATTCTACAAAAAGAGTGTTTCAAAACTGCTCTATGAAAAGAAAGGTTCAACTCTGTCAGTAGAGGGCACACATCACAAACAAGTTTCTGAGAATGCTTCTGTCTAGTTGTTATGGGAAGATATTTCCTTTTCCAACATAGGCCTGAAAGCGCTCCAAATGTCCACTTCCAGATACTACAAAAGGAGTGATTCAAACCTGCTCTATGATAGGGAATGTTCAACTCTGTGTCCTGAATACAAACATCACAAAGATGTTTCTCAGAACGCTGCAGTCTGCAATTTGTATGAATTCCCGCTTCCAACGAAATCCTCAAAACTAGCCAAATATCCACTTGCAGATTCCACAAAAAGACCATTTCAAAACTGCTCTATCAAAAGAAAGGTTCAACTTTGTTAGTTGAGTAGATACAGCATAAACAAGTTTCTGAGAATGCTTCTGTCCAGTTTTTATGGGAAGATATTTCCTTTTTCACCTTAGCCCTGAAATCGCTCCAAAAGTCCAGTTCCAGATACTACAAAAGGGGTGTTTCAAGACTGCTCTATGAAAGGGAGTGTTCAACTTTTGACTTGAATGCAAACATCAGAAAGCAGTTTCTCAGAACGCTGCTGTCTGCTTTTTATATGTAATCCCGTTTCCAACGAAATCCTCAAATCTAGCCAAATATCCACTTGCAGATTCCAGAAAAAGAGTGTTTCAAAACTGCTCCTTCAAAACGGTGGTTCAATTCTCTTAGTTGAGTACACACATCTCAAATAAGTTTCTGAGAATGCTTCTGTCTAGTTGTTATGGGAAGATATTTCCTTTTCCAACATAGGCCTGAAAGCGTTCCAAATGTCCACTTCCAGATACTACAAAAGGAGTGATTCAAACCTGCTCTATGATAGGGAATGTTCAACTCTGTGTCCTGAATACAAACATCACAAAGATGTTTCTCAGAACGCTGCAGTCTGCAATTTGTATGAATTCCCGCTTCCAACGAAATCCTCAAAACTAGCCAAATAACCACTTGCAGATTCCACAAAAAGAGCGTTTCAAAACTTCTCTATGAATAGAAAGGTTCTACTCCTTTAGTTGAGGACACACATCACGAGTAAGTTTCTGAGAATGCTTCTGTCTAGTTTTTATGGGAAGATATGTCCTTTTTCACCTTAGGCCGGAAAGCGCTCCAAATGTCCACTTACACACACTACAAAAAGAGTGTTTCAAACCTGCTCTGTGAAAGGGAATGTTCAATTCTGTGACTTGAATGCAATCATCACAAAGAACTTTCTGAGAATGCTGCTGACTGCTTTTTATATGTAATCCCGTTTCCAACGAAATCCTCAAATCTAGCCCAATATCCACTTGCAGATTCCACAAAAAGAGTGTTTCAAAACTGTTCTGTCTAAAGAAATGTACAACTGTGTTAGTTGAGGACACACATCAGAAACTAGTTTCTGAGAATGCTTCTGTCTAGTTGTTATGGGAAGATATTTCCTTTTCCAACGTAGGCCTGAAAGCGCTCCAAATGTCCACTTCCATATACTAAAAAAAGAGTGTTTCAAACCTGCTCTACCAAAGGGAATGTTCTACTCTGTGACTTGAATGCAAACATCCCAAAGAAGTTTCTGAGAATGCTTCTGTCTAGATTTTATCTGAAGACAATCCCGTTTCCAACGAAATCCTCAAGGCTAGGCAAATATACTCTTGCAGATTCCAGAAAAAGAGTGTTTCAAAACTGCTCCTTCAAAACGGTGGTTCAATTCTCTTAGTTGAGTACACACATCTCAAATAAGTTTCTGAGAATGCTTCTGCCTAGTTGTTACGGAAAGATATTTCCCTTTCCAACATGGGCCTGAAAGTGCTCCAAATGTCCACTTCCAGATACTACAAAAAGAGGGTTTCAAACCTGCTCTACCAAAGGGAATGTTCTACTCTGTGACTTGAATGCAAACATCCCAAAGAAGTTTCTGAGAATGCTTCTGTCTAGATTTTACCTGAAGACAATCCCGTTTCCCACGAAATCCTCAAAGCTATGCAAATATCCTCTTGCAGATTCTACAAAAAGAGTGTTTCAAAACTGCTCTATGAAAAGAAAGGTTCAACTCTGTCAGTAGAGGGCACACATCACAAACAAGTTTCTGAGAATGCTTCTGCATAGTTGTTATGGGAAGATATTTCCCTGTCCAAAATAGGCCTGAAAGCGCTCCAAATGTCCACTTCCAGATACTACAAAAGGAGTGATTCCAACCTGCTCTATGATAGGGAATGTTCAACTCTGTGTCCTGAATACAAACATCACAAAGATGTTTCTCATAACGCTGCAGTCTGCAATTTGTATGAATTCCCGCTTCCAACGAAATCCTCAAAACTAGCCAAATATCCACTTGCAGATTCCAGAAAAAGACCATTTCAAAACTGCTCTATCAAAAGAAAGGTTCAACTTTGTTAGTTGAGTAGATACAGCATAAACAAGTTTCTGAGAATGCTTCTGTCCAGTTTTTATGGGAAGATATTTCCTTTTTCACCTTAGCCCTGAAATCGCTCCAAAAGTCCAGTTCCAGATACTACAAAAGGGGTGTTTCAGGACTGCTCTATGAAAGGGAGTGTTCAACTTTTGACTTGAATGCAAACATCAGAAAGCAGTTTCTCAGAACGCTGCTGTGTGCTTTTTATATGTATTCCCGCTTCCAGCGAAATCCCCAAAGCTAACCAAATATCCACTTGCAGATTCCAGAAAAAGAGTGTTTCAAAACTGCTCCTTCAAAACGGTGGTTCAATTCTCTTAGTTGAGTACACACATCTCAAATAAGTTTCTGAGAATGCTTCTGTCTAGTTGTTATGGGAAGATATTTCCTTTTTCAACATAGGCCTGAAAGCGCTCCAAATGTCCACTTCCAGATACTACAAAAGGAGTGATTCCAACCTGCTCTATGATAGGGAATGTTCAACTCTGTGTCCTGAATACAAACATCACAAAGATGTTTCTGAGAACGCTGCAGTCTGCAATTTGTATGAATTCCCGCTTCCAACGAAATCCTCAAAACTAGCCAAATATCCACTTGCAGATTCCACAAAAAGAGCGTTTCAAAACTTCTCTATGAAAAGAAAGGTTCTACTCCTTTAGTTGAGGACACACAATACGAGTAAGTTTCTGAGAATGCTTCTGTCCAGTTTTTATGGGAAGATATTTCCTTTTTCACCTTAGCCCTGAAAGCGCTCCAAAAGTCCAGTTCCAGATACTACAAAAGGAGTGTTTCAGGACTGCTCTATGAAAGGGAGTGTTCAACTTTTGACTTGAATGCAAACATCAGAAAGCAGTTTCTCAGAACGCTGCTGTGTGCTTTTTATATGTATTCCCGCTTCCAGCGAAATCCCCAAAGCTAGCCAAATATCCACTTGCAGATTCCAGAAAAAGAGTGTTTCAAAACTGCTCCTTCAAAACGGTGGTTCAATTCTCTTAGTTGAGTACACACATCTCAAATAAGTTTCTGAGAATGCTTCTGTCTAGTTGTTATGGGAAGATATTTCCTTTTCCAACATAGGCCTGAAAGCGCTCCAAATGTCCACTTCCAGATACTACAAAAGGAGTGATTCAAACCTGCTCTATGATAGGGAATGTTCAACTCTGTGTCCTGAATACAAACATCACAAAGATGTTTCTCAGAACGCTGCAGTCTGCAATTTGTATGAATTCCCGCTTCCAACGAAATCCTCAAAACTAGCCAAATATCCACTTGCAGATTCCACAAAAAGAGCGTTTCAAAACTTCTCTATGAAAAGAAAGGTTCTACTCCTTTAGTTGAGGACACACATCACGAGTAAGTTTCTGAGAATGCTTCTGTCTAGTTTTTATGGGAAGATATTTCCTTTTTCACCTTAGGCCGGAAAGCGCTCCAAATGTCCACTTACACACACTACAAAAAGAGTGTTTCAAACCTGCTCTGTGAAAGGGAATGTTCAATTCTGTGACTTGAATGCAATCATCACAAAGAACTTTCTGAGAATGCTGCTGACTGCTTTTTATATGTAATCCCGTTTCCAACGAAATCCTCAAATCTAGCCAAATAGCCACTTGCAGATTCCACAAAAAGAGTGTTTCAAAACTGTTCTGTCTAAAGAAATGTTCAACTGTGTTAGTTGAGGACACACATCAGAAACTAGTTTCTGAGAATGCTTCTGTCTAGTTGTTATGGGAAGATATTTCCTTTTCCAACGTAGGCCTGAAAGCGCTCCAAATGTCCACTTCCAGATACTACAAAAAGAGTGTTTCAAACCTGCTCTACCAAAGGGAATGTTCTACTCTGTGACTTGAATGCAAACATCCCAAAGAAGTTTCTGAGAATGCTTCTGTCTAGATTTTCTCTGAAGACAATCCCGTTTCCAACGAAATCCTCAAGGCTAGGCAAATATACTCTTGCAGATTCCAGAAAAAGAGTGTTTCAAAACTGCTCCTTCAAAACGGTGGTTCAATTCTCTTAGTTGAGTACACACATCTCAAATAAGTTTCTGAGAATGCTTCTGCCTAGTTGTTACGGGAAGATATTTCCCTTTCCAACATGGGCCTGAAAGCGCTCCAAATGTCCACTTCCAGATACTACAAAAAGAGTGTTTCAAACCTGCTCTACCAAAGGGAATGTTTTACTCTGTGACTTGAATGCAAACATCCCAAAGAAGTTTCTGAGAATGCTTCTGTCTAGATTTTACCTGAAGACAATCCCGTTTCCCACGAAATCCTCAAAGCTATGCAAATATCCTCTTGCAGATTCTACAAAAAGAGTGTTTCAAAACTGCTCTATGAAAAGAAAGGTTCAACTCTGTCAGTAGAGGGCACACATCACAAACAAGTTTCTGAGAATGCTTCTGCATAGTTGTTACGGGAAGATATTTCCCTTTCCAAAATAGGCCTGAAAGCGCTCCAAATGTCCACTTCCAGATACTACAAAAGGAGTGATTCCAACCTGCTCTATGATAGGGAATGTTCAACTCTGTGTCCTGAATACAAACATCACAAAGATGTTTCTCAGAACGCTGCAGTCTGCAATTTGTATGAATTCCCGCTTCCAACGAAATCCTCAAAACTAGCCAAATATCCACTTGCAGATTCCACAAAAAGAGCATTTCAAAACTGCTCTATCAAAAGAAAGGTTCAACTTTGTTAGTTGAGTAGATACAGCATAAACAAGTTTCTGAGAATGCTTCTGTCCAGTTTTTATGGGAAGATATTTCCTTTTTCACCTTAGCCCTGAAAGCGCTCCAAAAGTCCAGTTCCAGATACTACAAAAGGAGTGTTTCAGGACTGCTCTATGAAAGGTAGTGTTCAACTTTTGACTTGAATGCAAACATCAGAAAGCAGTTTCTCAGAACGCTGCTGTGTGCTTTTTATATGTATTCCCGCCTCCAGCGAAATCCCCAAAGCTAGCCAAATATCCACTTGCAGATTCCAGAAAAAGAGTGTTTCAAAACTGCTCCTTCAAAACGGTGGTTCAATTCTCTTAGTTGAGTACACACATCTCAAATAAGTTTCTGAGAATGCTTCTGTCTAGTTTTTATGGGAAGATATTTCCTTTTTCACCTGAGGCCGGAAAGCGCTCCAAATGTCCACTTCCAGATACTACAAAAGGAGTGATTCAAACCTGCTCTATGATAGGGAACGTTCAACTCTGTGTCCTGAATACAAACATCACAAAGATGTTTCTCAGAACGCTGCAGTCTGCAATTTGTATGAATTCCCGCTTCCAACGAAATCCTCAAAACTAGCCAAATATCCACTTGCAGATTCCACAAAAAGAGCGTTTCAAAACTTCTCTATGAAAAGAAAGGTTCTACTCCTTTAGTTGAGGACACACATCACGAGTAAGTTTCTGAGAATACTTCTGTCTAGTTTTTATGGGAAGATATTTCCTTGTTCACCTTAGGCCGGAAAGCGCTCCAAATGTCCACTTACACACACTACAAAAAGAGTGTTTCAAACCTGCTCTGTGAAAGGGAATGTTCAATTCTGTGACTTGAATGCAATCATCACAAAGAAGTTTCTGAGAATGCTGCTGTCTGCTTTTTATATGTAATCCCGTTTCCAACGAAATCCTCAAATCTAGCCAAATAGCCCCTTGCAGATTCCACAAAAAGAGTGTTTCAAAACTGTTCTGTCTAAAGAAATGTTCAACTGTGTTAGTTGAGGACACACATCAGAAACTAGTTTCTGAGAATGCTTCTGTCTAGTTGTTATGGGAAGATATTTCCTTTTCCAACGTAGGCCTGAAAGCGCTCCAAATGTCCACTTCCATATACTAAAAAAAGAGTGTTTCAAACCTGCTCTACCAAAGGGAATGTTCTACTCTGTGACTTGAATGCAAACATCCCAAAGAAGTTTCTGAGAATGCTTCTGTCTAGATTTGATCTGAAGACAATCCCGTTTCCAACGAAATCCTCAAGGCTAGGCAAATATCCTCTTGCAGATTCCAGAAAAAGAGTGTTTCAAAACTGCTCCTTCAAAACGGTGGTTCAATTCTCTTAGTTGAGTACACACATCTCAAATAAGTTTCTGAGAATGCTTCTGCCTAGTTGTTACGGGAAGATATTTCCCTTTCCAACATAGGCCTGAAAGCGCTCCAAATGTCCACTTCCAAATACTACAAAAAGAGTGTTTCAAACCTACTCTACCAAAGGGAATGTTCTACTCTGTGACTTGAATGCAAACATCCCAAAGAAGTTTCTGAGAATGCTTCTGTCTAGATTTTACCTGAAGACTATCCCGTTTCCCACGAAATCCTCAAAGCTATGCAAATATCCTCTTGCAGATTCTACAAAAAGAGTGTTTCAAAACTGCTCTATGAAAAGAAAGGTTCAACTCTGTCAGTAGAGGGCACACATCACAAACAAGTTTCTGAGAATGCTTGTGTCTAGTTGTTATGGGAAGATATTTCCTTTTTCAACATAGGCCTGAAAGCGCTCCAAATGTCCACTTCCAGATACTACAAAAGGAGTGATTCCAACCTGCTCTATGATAGGGAATGTTCAACTCTCTGTCCTGAATACAAACATCACAAAGATGTTTCTCAGAACGCTGCAGTCTGCAATTTGTATGAATTCCCGCTTCCAACCAAATCCTCAAAACTAGCCAAATATCCACTTGCAGATTCCACAAAAAGAGCATTTCAAAACTGCTCTATCAAAAGAAAGGTTCAACTTTGTTAGTTGAGTAGATACAGCATAAACAAGTTTCTGAGAATGCTTCTGTCCAGTTTTTATGGGAAGATATTTCCTTTTTCACCTTAGCCCTGAAATCGCTCCAAAAGTCCAGTTCCAGATACTACAAAAGGGGTGTTTCAGGACTGCTCTATGAAAGGGAGTGTTCAACTTTTGACTTGAATGCAAACATCAGAAAGCAGTTTCTCAGAACGCTGCTGTGTGCTTTTTATATGTATTCCCGCTTCCAGCGAAATCCCCAAAGCTAGCCAAATATCCACTTGCAGATTCCAGAAAAAGAGAGTTTCAAAACTGCTCCTTCAAAACGGTGGTTCAATTCTCTTAGTTGAGTACACACATCTCAAATAAGTTTCTGAGAATGCTTCTGTCTAGTTGTTATGGGAAGATATTTCCTTTTCCAACATAGGCCTGAAAGCGCTCCAAATGTCCACTTCCAGATACTACAAAAGGAGTGATTCAAACCTGCTCTATGATAGGGAATGTTCAACTCTGTGTCCTGAATACAAACATCACAAAGATGTTTCTCAGAACGCTGCAGTCTGCAATTTGTATGAATTCCCGCTTCCAACGAAATCCTCAAAACTAGCCAAATATCCACTTGCAGATTCCACAAAAAGAGCGTTTCAAAACTTCTCTATGAAAAGAAAGGTTCTACTCCTTTAGTTGAGGACACACATCACGAGTAAGTTTCTGAGAATGCTTCTGTCTAGTTTTTATGGGAAGATATTTCCTTTTTCACCTTAGGCCGGAAAGTGCTCCAAATGTCCAATTACACACACTAAAAAAGAGTATTTCAAACCTGCTCTGTGAAAGGGAATGTTCAATTCTGTGACTTGAATGCAATCATCACAAAGAACTTTTTGAGAATGCTGCTGACTGCTTTTTATATGTAATCCCGTTTCCAACGAAATCCTCAAATCTAGCCAAATAGCCACTTGCAGATTCCACAAAAAGAGTGTTTCAAAACTGTTCTGTCTAAAGAAATGTGCAACTGTGTTAGTTGAGGACACACATCAGAAACTAGTTTCTGAGAATGCTTCTGTCTAGTTGTTATGGGAAGATATTTCCTTTTCCAACGTAGGCCTGAATGCGCTCCAAATGTCCACTTCCATATACTAAAAAAAGAGTGTTTCAAACCTGCTCTACCAAAGGGAATGTTCTACTCTGTGACTTGAATGCAAACATCCCAAAGAAGTTTCTGAGAATGCTTCTGTCTAGATTTGATCTGAAGACAATCCCGTTTCCAACGAAATCCTCAAGGCTAGGCAAATATCCTCTTGCAGATTCCAGAAAAAGAGTGTTTCAAAACTGCTCCTTCAAAACGGTGGTTCAATTCTCTTAGTTGAGTACACACATCTCAAATAAGTTTCTGAGAATGCTTCTGCCTAGTTGTTACGGGAAGATATTTCCCTTTCCAACATAGGCCTGAAAGCGCTCCAAATGTCCACTTCCAGATACTACAAAAAGAGTGTTTCAAACCTACTCTACCAAAGGGAATGTTCTACTCTTTGACTTGAATGCAAACATCCCAAAGAAGTTTCTGAGAATGCTTCTGTCTAGATTTTACCTGAAGACAATCCCGTTTCCCACGTAATCCTCAAAGCTATGCAAATATCCTCTTGCAGATTCTACAAAAAGAGTGTTTCAAAACTGCTCTATGAAAAGAAAGGTTCAACTCTGTCAGTAGAGGGCACACATCACAGACAAGTTTCTGAGAATGCTTCTGCATAGTTGTTACGGGAAGATATTTCCCTTTCCAAAATAGGCCTGAAAGCGCTCCAAATGTCCACTTCCAGATACTACAAAAGGAGTGATTCCAACCTGCTCTATGATAGGGAATGTTCAACTCTGTGTCCTGAATACAAACATCACAAAGATGTTTCTCAGAACGCTGCAGTCTGCAATTTGTATGAATTCCCGCTTCCAACGAAATCCTCAAAACTAGCCAAATATCCACTTGCAGATTCCACAAAAAGACCATTTCAAAACTGCTCTATCAAAAGAAAGGTTCAACTTTGTTAGTTGAGTAGATACAGCATAAACAAGTTTCTGAGAATGCTTCTGTCCAGTTTTTATGGGAAGATATTTCCTTTTTCACCTTAGCCCTGAAATCGCTCCAAAAGTCCAGTTCCAGATACTACAAAAGGGGTGTTTCAAGACTGCTCTATGAAAGGGAGTGTTCAACTTTTGACTTGAATGCAAACATCAGAAAGCAGTTTCTCAGAACGCTGCTGTGTGCTTTTTATATGTATTCCCGCTTCCAGCGAAATCCCCAAAGCTAGCCAAATATCCACTTGCAGATTCCAGAAAAAGAGAGTTTCAAAACTGCTCCTTCAAAACGGTGGTTCAATTCTCTTAGTTGAGTACACACATCTCAAATAAGTTTCTGAGAATGCTTCTGTCTAGTTGTTATGGGAAGATATTTCCTTTTCCAACATAGGCCTGAAAGCGCTCCAAATGTCCACTTCCAGATACTACAAAAGGAGTGATTCAAACCTGCTCTATGATAGGGAATGTTCAACTCTGTGTCCTGAATACAAACATCACAAAGATGTTTCTCAGAACGCTGCAGTCTGCAATTTGTATGAATTCCCGCTTCCAACGAAATCCTCAAAACTAGCCAAATATCCACTTGCAGATTCCACAAAAAGAGCGTTTCAAAACTTCTCTATGAAAAGAAAGTTTCTACTCCTTTAGTTGAGGACACACATCACGAGTAAGTTTCTGAGAATGCTTCTGTCTAGTTTTTATGGGAAGATATTTCCTTTTTCACCTTAGGCCGGAAAGTGCTCCAAATGTCCACTTACACACACTACAAAAAGAGTGTTTCAAACCTGCTCTGTGAAAGGGAATGTTCAATTCTGTGACTTGAATGCAATCATCACAAAGAACTTTCTGAGAATGCTGCTGTCTGCTTTTTATATGTAATCCCCTTTCCAACGAAATCCTCAAATCTAGCCAAATAGCCACTTGCAGATTCCACAAAAAGAGTGTTTCAAAACTGTTCTGTCTAAAGAAATGTTCAACTGTGTTAGTTGAGGACACACATCAGAAACTAGTTTCTGAGAATGCTTCTGTCTAGTTGTTATGGGAAGATATTTCCTTTTCCAACGTAGGCCTGAAAGCGCTCCAAATGTCCACTTCCATATACTAAAAAAAGAGTGTTTCAAACCTGCTCTACCAAAGGGAATGTTCTACTCTGTGACTTGAATGCAAACATCCCAAAGAAGTTTCTGAGAATGCTTCTGTCTAGATTTGATCTGAAGACAATCCCGTTTCCAACGAAATCCTCAAAGCTAGGCAAATATCCTCTTGCAGATTCCAGAAAAAGAGTGTTTCAAAACTGCTCCTTCAAAACGGTGGTTCAATTCTCTTAGTTGAGTACACACATCTCAAATAAGTTTCTGAGAATGCTTCTGCCTAGTTGTTACGGGAAGATATTTCCCTTTCCAACATAGGCCTGAAAGCGCTCCAAATGTCCACTTCCAGATACTACAAAAAGAGTGTTTCAAACCTGCTCTACCAAAGGGAATGTTCTACTCTGTGACTTGAATGCAAACATCCCAAAGAAGTTTCTGAGAATGCTTCTGTCTAGATTTTACCTGAAGACAATCCCGTTTCCCACGAAATCCTCAAAGCTATGCAAATATCCTCTTGCAGATTCTACAAAAAGAGTGTTTCAAAACTGCTCTATGAAAAGAAAGGTTCAACTCTGTCAGTAGAGGGCACACATCACAAACAAGTTTCTGAGAATGCTTGTGTCTAGTTGTTATGGGAAGATATTTCCTTTTTCAACATAGGCCTGAAAGCGCTCCAAATGTCCACTTCCAGATACTACAAAAGGAGTGATTCCAACCTGCTCTATGATAGGGAATGTTCAACTCTCTGTCCTGAATACAAACATCACAAAGATGTTTCTCAGAACGCTGCAGTCTGCAATTTGTATGAATTCCCGCTTCCAACGAAATCCTCAAAACTAGCCAAATATCCACTTGCAGATTCCACAAAAAGAGCATTTCAAAATTGCTCTATCAAAAGAAAGGTTCAACTTTGTTAGTTGAGTAGATACAGCATAAACAAGTTTCTGAGAATGCTTCTGTCCAGTTTTTATGGGAAGATATTTCCTTTTTCACCTTAGCCCTGAAATCGCTCCAAAAGTCCAGTTCCAGATACTACAAAAGGGGTGTTTCAGGACTGCTCTATGAAAGGGAGTGTTCAACTTTTGACTTGAATGCAAACATCAGAAAGCAGTTTCTCAGAACGCTGCTGTGTGCTTTTTATATGTATTCCCGCTTCCAGCGAAATCCCCAAAGCTAGCCAAATATCCACTTGCAGATTCCAGAAAAAGAGAGTTTCAAAACTGCTCCTTCAAAACGGTGGTTCAATTCTCTTAGTTGAGTACACACATCTCAAATAAGTTTCTGAGAATGCTTCTGTCTAGTTGTTATGGGAAGATATTTCCTTTTCCAACATAGGCCTGAAAGCGCTCCAAATGTCCACTTCCAGATACTACAAAAGGAGTGATTCCAACCTGCTCTATGATAGGGAATGTTCAACTCTGTGTCCTGAATACAAACATCACAAAGATGTTTCTCAGAACGCTGCAGTCTGCAATTTGTATGAATTCCCGCTTCCAACGAAATCCTCAAAACTAGCCAAATATCCACTTGCAGATTCCACAAAAAGAGCGTTTCAAAACTTCTCTATGAAAAGAAAGGTTCTACTCCTTTAGTTGAGGACACACATCACGAGTAAGTTTCTGAGAATGCTTCTGTCTAGTTTTTATGGGAAGATATTTCCTTGTTCACCTTAGGCCGAAAAGCGCTCCAAATGTCCACTTACACACACTACAAAAAGAGTGTTTCAAACCTGCTCTGTGAAAGGGAATGTTCAATCCTGTGACTTGAATGCAATCATCACAAAGAAGTTTCTGAGAATGCTGCTGACTGCTTTTTATATGTAATCCCGTTTCCAACGAAATCCTCAAATCTAGCCAAATAGCCACTTGCAGATTCCACAAAAAGAGTGTTTCAAAACTGTTCTGTCTAAAGAAATGTTCAACTGTGTTAGTTGAGGACACACATCAGAAACTAGTTTCTGAGAATGCTTCTGTCTAGTTGTTATGGGAAGATATTTCCTTTTCCAACGTAGGCCTGAAAGCGCTCCAAATGTCCACTTCCATATACTAAAAAAAGAGTGTTTCAAACCTGCTCTACCAAAGGGAATGTTCTACTCTGTGACTTGAATGCAAACATCCCAAAGAAGTTTCTGAGAATGCTTCTGTCTAGATTTGATCTGAAGACAATCCCGTTTCCAACGAAATCCTCAAGGCTAGGCAAATATCCTCTTGCAGATTCCAGAAAAAGAGTGTTTCAAAACTGCTCCTTCAAAACGGTGGTTCAATTCTCTTAGTTGAGTACACACATCTCAAATAAGTTTCTGAGAATGCTTCTGCCTAGTTGTTACGGGAAGATATTTCCCTTTCCAACATAGGCCTGAAAGCGCTCCAAATGTCCACTTCCAGATACTACAAAAAGAGTGTTTCAAACCTGCTCTACCAAAGGGAATGTTCTACTCTGTGACTTGAATGCAAACATCCAAAAGAAGTTTCTGAGAATGCTTCTGTCTAGATTTTACCTGAAGACAATCCCGTTTCCCACGAAATCCTCAAAGCTATGCAAATATCCTCTTGCAGATTCTACAAAAAGAGTGTTTCAAAACTGCTCTATGAAAAGAAAGGTTCAACTCTGTCAGTAGAGGGCACACATCACAAACAAGTTTCTGAGAATGCTTGTGTCTAGTTGTTATGGGAAGATATTTCCTTTTTCAACATAGGCCTGAAAGCGCTCCAAATGTCCACTTCCAGATACTACAAAAGGAGTGATTCCAACCTGCTCTATGATAGGGAATGTTCAACTCTCTGTCCTGAATACAAACATCACAAAGATGTTTCTCAGAACGCTGCAGTCTGCAATTTGTATGAATTCCCGCTTCCAACGAAATCCTCAAAACTAGCCAAATATCCACTTGCAGATTCCACAAAAAGACCATTTCAAAACTGCTCTATCAAAAGAAAGGTTCAACTTTGTTAGTTGAGTAGATACAGCATAAACAAGTTTCTGAGAATGCTTCTGTCCAGTTTTTATGGGAAGATATTTCCTTTTTCACCTTAGCCCTGAAATCGCTCCAAAAGTCCAGTTCCAGATACTACAAAAGGGGTGTTTCAAGACTGCTCTATGAAAGGGAGTGTTCAACTTTTGACTTGAATGCAAACATCAGAAAGCAGTTTCTCAGAACGCTGCTGTGTGCTTTTTATATGTATTCCCGCTTCCAGCGAAATCCCCAAAGCTAGCCAAATATCCACTTGCAGATTCCAGAAAAAGAGAGTTTCAAAACTGCTCCTTCAAAACGGTGGTTCAATTCTCTTAGTTGAGTACACACATCTCAAATAAGTTTCTGAGAATGCTGCAGTCTGCAATTTGTATGAATTCCCGCTTCCAACGAAATCCTCCAAACTAGCCAAATATCCACTTGCAGAGTCCACAAAAAGAGCGTTTCAAAACTTCTCTATGAAAAGAAAGTTTCTACTCCTTTAGTTGAGGACACACATCACGAGTAAGTTTCTGAGAATGCTTCTGTCTAGTTCTTATGGGAAGATATTTCCTTGTACACCTTAGGCCGAAAAGTGCTCCAAATGTCCACTTACACACACTACAAAAAGAGTGTTTCAAACCTGCTCTGTGAAAGGGAATGTTCAATTCTGTGACTTGAATGCAATCATCACAAAGAAGTTTCTGAGAATGCTGCTGTCTGCTTTTTATATGTAATCCCGTTTCCAACGAAATCCTCAAATCTAGCCAAATATCCACTTGCAGATTCCACAAAAAGAGTGTTTCAAAACTGTTCTGTCTAAAGAAATGTTCAACTGTGTTAGTTGAGGACACACATCAGAAACTAGTTTCTGAGAATGCTTCTGTCTAGTTGTTATGGGAAGATATTTCCTTTTCCAACGTAGGCCTGAAAGCGCTCCAAATGTCCACTTCCATATACTAAAAAAAGAGTGTTTCATACCTGCTCTACCAAAGGAATGTTCTACTCTGTGACTTGAATGCAAACATCCCAAAGAAGTTTCTGAGAATGCTTCTGTCTAGATTTGATCTGAAGACAATCCCTTTTCCAACGAAATCCTCAAAGCTAGGCAAATATCCTCTTGCAGATTCCAGAAAAAGAGTGTTTCCAAACTGCTCCTTCAAAACGGTGGTTCAATTCTCTTAGTTGAGTACACACATCTCAAATAAGTTTCTGAGAATGCTTCTGCCTAGTTGTTACGGGAAGATATTTCCCTTTCCAACATAGACCTGAAAGCGCAACAAATGTCCACTTCCAGATACGACAAAAAGAGTGTTTCAAACCTGCTCTACCAAAGGGAATGTTCTACTCTGTGACTTGAATGCAAACATCCCGAAGAAGTTTCTGAGAATGCTTCTGTCTAGATTTTACCTGAAGACAATCCCGTTTCCCACGAAATCCTCAAAGCTATGCAAATATCCTCTTGCAGATTCTACAAAAAGAGTGTTTCAAAACTGCTCTATGAAAAGAAAGGTTCAACTGTGTCAGTAGAGGGCACACATCACAAACAAGTTTCTGAGAATGCTTGTGTCTAGTTGTTATGGGAAGATATTTCCTTTTTCAACATAGGCCTGAAAGCGCTCCAAATGTCCACTTCCAGATACTACAAAAGGAGTGATTCCAACCTGCTCTATGATAGGGAATGTTCAACTCTCTGTCCTGAATACAAACATCACAAAGATGTTTCTCAGAACGCTGCAGTCTGCAATTTGTATGAATTCCCGCTTCCAACGAAATCCTCAAAACTAGCCAAATATCCACTTGCAGATTCCACAAAAAGAGCATTTCAAAACTGCTCTATCAAAAGAAAGGTTCAACTTTGTTAGTTGAGTAGATACAGCATAAACAAGTTTCTGAGAATGCTTCTGTCCAGTTTTTATGGGAAGATATTTCCTTTTTCACCTTAGCCCTGAAAGCGCTCCAAAAGTCCAGTTCCAGATACTACAAAAGGAGTGTTTCAGGACTGCTCTATGAAAGGGAGTGTTCAACTTTTGACTTGAATGCAAACATCAGAAAGCAGTTTCTCAGAACGCTGCAGTCTGCAATTTGTATGAATTCCCGCTTCCAACGAAATCCTCAAAACTAGCCAAATATCCACTTGCAGATTCCACAAAAAGAGCGTTTCAAAACTTCTCTATGAAAAGAAAGGTTCTACTCCTTTAGTTGAGGACACACAATACGAGTAAGTTTCTGAGAATGCTTCTGTCCAGTTTTTATGGGAAGATATTTCCTTTTTCACCTTAGCCCTGAAAGCGCTCCAAAAGTCCAGTTCCAGATACTACAAAAGGAGTGTTTCAGGACTGCTCTATGAAAGGGAGTGTTCAACTTTTGACTTGAATGCAAACATCAGAAAGCAGTTTCTCAGAACGCTGCTGTGTGCTTTTTATATGTATTCCCGCTTCCAGCGAAATCCCCAAAGCTAGCCAAATATCCACTTGCAGATTCCAGAAAAAGAGTGTTTCAAAACTGCTCCTTCAAAACGGTGGTTCAATTCTCTTAGTTGAGTACACACATCTCAAATAAGTTTCTGAGAATGCTTCTGTCTAGTTGTTATGGGAAGATATTTCCTTTTCCAACATAGGCCTGAAAGCGCTCCAAATGTCCACTTCCAGATACTACAAAAGGAGTGATTCCAACCTGCTCTATGATAGGGAATGTTCAACTCTGTGTCCTGAATACAAACATCACAAAGATGTTTCTCAGAACGCTGCAGTCTGCAATTTGTATGAATTCCCGCTTCCAACGAAATCCTCAAAACTAGCCAAATATCCACTTGCAGATTCCACAAAAAGACCATTTCAAAACTGCTCTATCAAAAGAAAGGTTCAACTTTGTTAGTTGAGTAGATACAGCATAAACAAGTTTCTGAGAATGCTTCTGTCCAGTTTTTATGGGAAGATATTTCCTTTTTCACCTTAGCCCTGAAATCGCTCCAAAAGTCCAGTTCCAGATACTACAAAAGGGGTGTTTCAAGACTGCTCTATGAAAGGGAGTGTTCAACTTTTGACTTGAATGCAAACATCAGAAAGCAGTTTCTCAGAACGCTGCTGTGTGCTTTTTATATGTATTCCCGCTTCCAGCGAAATCCCCAAAGCTAGCCAAATATCCACTTGCAGATTCCAGAAAAAGAGTGTTTCAAAACTGCTCCTTCAAAACGGTGGTTCAATTCTCTTAGTTGAGTACACACATCTCAAATAAGTTTCTGAGAATGCTTCTGTCTAGTTGTTATGGGAAGATATTTCCTTTTCCAACATAGGCCTGAAAGCGCTCCAAATGTCCACTTCCAGATACTACAAAAGGAGTGATTCCAACCTGCTCTATGATAGGGAATGTTCAACTCTGTGTCCTGAATACAAACATCACAAAGATGTTTCTCAGAACGCTGCAGTCTGCAATTTGTATGAATTCCCGCTTCCAACGAAATCCTCAAAACTAGCCAAATATCCACTTGCAGATTCCACAAAAAGACCATTTCAAAACTGCTCTATCAAAAGAAAGGTTCAACTTTGTTAGTTGAGTAGATACAGCATAAACAAGTTTCTGAGAATGCTTCTGTCCAGTTTTTATGGGAAGATATTTCCTTTTTCACCTTAGCCCTGAAATCGCTCCAAAAGTCCAGTTCCAGATACTACAAAAGGGGTGTTTCAGGACTGCTCTATGAAAGGGAGTGTTCAACTTTTGACTTGAATGCAAACATCAGAAAGCAGTTTCTCAGAACGCTGCTGTGTGCTTTTTATATGTATTCCCGCTTCCAGCGAAATCCCCAAAGCTAGCCAAATATCCACTTGCAGATTCCAGAAAAAGAGAGTTTCAAAACTGCTCCTTCAAAACGGTGGTTCAATTCTCTTAGTTGAGTACACACATCTCAAATAAGTTTCTGAGAATGCTTCTGTCTAGTTGTTATGGGAAGATATTTCCTTTTCCAACATAGGCCTGAAAGCGCTCCAAATGTCCACTTCCAGATACTACAAAAGGAGTGATTCAAACCTGCTCTATGATAGGGAATGTTCAACTCTGTGTCCTGAATACAAACATCACAAAGATGTTTCTCAGAACGCTCAGTCTGCAATTTGTATGAATTCCCGCTTCCAACGAAATCCTCAAAACTAGCCAAATATCCACTTGCAGATTCCACAAAAAGAGCGTTTCAAAACTTCTCTATGAAAAGAAAGGTTCTACTCCTTTAGTTGAGGACACACATCACGAGTAAGTTTCTGAGAATGCTTTCTGTCTAGTTTTTATGGGAAGATTATTTCCTTTTTCACCTTAGGCCGGTAAGTGCTCCAAATGTCCACTTACACACACTACAAAAAGAGTGTTTCAAACCTGCTCTGTGAAAGGGAATGTTCAATTCTGTGACTTGAATGCAATCATCACAAAGAACTTTCTGAGAATGCTGCTGACTGCTTTTTATATGTAATCCCGTTTCCAACGAAATCCTCAAATCTAGCCAAATAGCCACTTGCAGATTCCACAAAAAGAGTGTTTCAAAACTGTTCTGTCTAAAGAAATGTTCAACTGTGTTAGTTGAGGACACACATCAGAAACTAGTTTCTGAGAATGCTTCTGTCTAGTTGTTATGGGAAGATATTTCCTTTTCCAACGTAGGCCTGAAAGCGCTCCAAATGTCCACTTCCAGATACTACAAAAAGAGTGTTTCAAACCTGCTCTACCAAAGGGAATGTTCTACTCTGTGACTTGAATGCAAGCATCCCAAAGAAGTTTCTGAGAATGCTTCTGTCTAGATTTGATCTGAAGACAATCCCGTTTCCAACGAAATCCTCAAGGCTAGGGAAATATCCTCTTGCAGATTCCAGAAAAAGAGTGTTTCAAAACTGCTCCTTCAAAACGGTGGTTCAATTCTCTTAGTTGAGTACACACATCTCAAATAAGTTTCTGAGAATGCTTCTGCCTAGTTGTTACGGGAAGATATTTCCCTTTCCAACATAGGCCTGAAAGCGCTCCAAATGTCCACTTCCAGATACTACAAAAAGAGTGTTTCAAACCTGCTCTACCAAAGGGAATGTTCTACTCTGTGACTTGAATGCAAACATCCCAAAGAAGTTTCTGAGAATGCTTCTGTCTAGATTTGATCTGAAGACAATCCCGTTTCCAACGAAATCCTCAAGGCTAGGCAAATATCCTCTTGCAGATTCCAGAAAAAGAGTGTTTCAAAACTGCTCCTTCAAAACGGTGGTTCAATTCTCTTAGTTGAGTACACACATCTCAAATAAGTTTCTGAGAATGCTTCTGCCTAGTTGTTACGGGAAGATATTTCCCTTTCCAACATAGGCCTGAAAGCGCTCCAAATGTCCACTTCCAGATACTACAAAAAGAGTGTTTCAAACCTGCTCTACCAAAGGGAATGTTCTACTCTGTGACTTGAATGCAAACATCCCAAAGAAGTTTCTGAGAATGCTTCTGTCTAGATTTTACCTGAAGACAATCCCGTTTCCCACGAAATCCTCAAAGCTATGCAAATATCCTCTTGCAGATTCTACAAAAAGAGTGTTTCAAAACTGCTCTATGAAAAGAAAGGTTCAACTCTGTCAGTAGAGGGCACACATCACAAACAAGTTTCTGAGAATGCTTGTGTCTAGTTGTTATGGGAAGATATATCCTTTTTCAACATAGGCCTGAAAGCGCTCCAAATGTCCACTTCCAGATACTACAAAAGGAGTGATTACAACCTGTTCTATGATAGGGAATGTTCAACTCTGTGTCCTGAATACAAACATCACAAAGATGTTTCTCAGAACGCTGCAGTCTGCAATTTGTATGAATTCCCGCTTCCAACGAAATCCTCAAAACTAGCCAAATATCCACTTGCAGATTCCACAAAAAGAGCATTTCAAAACTGCTCTATCAAAAGAAAGGTTCAACTTTGTTAGTTGAGTAGATACAGCATAAACAAGTTTCTGAGAATGCTTCTGTCCAGTTTTTATGGGAAGATATTTCCTTTTTCACCTTAGCCCTGAAAGCGCTCCAAAAGTCCAGTTCCAGATACTACAAAAGGAGTGTTTCAGGACTGCTCTATGAAAGGGAGTGTTCAACTTTTGACTTGAATGCAAACATCAGAAAGCAGTTTCTCAGAACGCTGCTGTGTGCTTTTTATATGTATTCCCGCTTCCAGCGAAATCCCCAAAGCTAGCCAAATATCCACTTGCAGATTCCAGAAAAAGAGTGTTTCAAAACTGCTCCTTCAAAACGGTGGTTCAATTCTCTTAGTTGAGTACACACATCTCAAATAAGTTTCTGAGAATGCTTGTGTCTAGTTGGCATGGGACGATATTTCCTTTTTCAACATAGGCCTGAAAGCGCTCCAAATGTCCACTTCCAGATACTACAAAAGGAGTGATTCCAACATGCTCTATGATAGGGAATGTTCATCTCTGTGTCTTGAATACAAACATCACAAAGATGTTTCTCAGAACGCTGCAGTCTGCAATTTGTATGAATTCCCGCTTCCAACGAAATCCTCAAAACTAGCCAAATATCCACTTGGAGATTCCACAAAAAGAGCGTTTCAAAACTTCTCTATGAATAGAAAGGTTCTACTCCTTTAGTTGAGGACACACATCACGAGTAAGTTTCTGAGAATGCTTCTGTCTAGTTTTTATGGGAAGATATTTCCTTTTTCACCTTAGGCCGGAAAGCGTTCCAAATGTCCACTTACACACACTACAAAAAGAGTGTTTCAAACCTGCTCTGTGAAAGGGAATGTTCAATTCTGTGACTTGAATGCAATCATCACAAAGAACTTTCTGAGAATGCTGCTGTCTGCTTTTTATATGTAATCCCGTTTCCAACGAAATACTCAAATCTAGCCCAATATCCACTTGCAGATTCCACAAAAAGAGTGTTTCAAAACTGTTCTGTCTAAAGAAAAGTTCAACTGTGTTAGTTGAGGACACACATCAGAAACTAGTTTCTGAGAATGCTTCTGTCTAGTTGTTATGGGAAGATATTTCCTTTTCCAACGTAGGCCTGAAAGCGCTCCAAATGTCCACTTCCATATACTAAAAAAAGAGTGTTTCAAACCTGCTCTACCAAAGGGAATGTTCTACTCTGTGACTTGAATGCAAACATCCCAAAGAAGTTTCTGAGAATGCTTCTGTCTAGATTTTATCTGAAGACAATCCCGTTTCCAACGAAATCCTCAAGGCTAGGCAAATATACTCTTGCAGATTCCAGAAAAAGAGGGTTTCAAAACTGCTCCTTCAAAACGGTGGTTCAATTCTCTTAGTTGAGTACACACATCTCAAATAAGTTTCTGAGAATGCTTCTGCCTAGTTGTTACGGGAAGATATTTCCCTTTCCAACATAGGCCTGAAAGCGCTCCAAATGTCCACTTCCAGATACTACAAAAAGAGTGTTTCAAACCTGCTCTACCAAAGGGAATGTTCTACTCTGTGACTTGAATGCAAACATCCCAAAGATGTTTCTGAGAATGCTTCTGTCTAGATTTTACCTGAAGACAATCCCGTTTCCCACGAAATCCTCAAAGCTATGCAAATATCCTCTTGCAGATTCTACAAAAAGAGCGTTTCAAAACTTCTCTATGAAAAGAAAGGTTCTACTCATTTAGTGGAGGACACACATCACGAGTAAGTTTCTGAGAATGCTTCTGTCTAGTTTTTATGGGAAGATATTTCCTTTTTCACCTTAGGCCGGAAAGTGCTCCAAATGTCCAATTACACACACTAAAAAAGAGTATTTCAAACCTGCTCTGTGAAAGGGAATGTTCAATTCTGTGACTTGAATGCAATCATCACAAAGAACTTTTTGAGAATGCTGCTGACTGCTTTTTATATGTAATCCCGTTTCCAACGAAATCCTCAAATCTAGCCAAATAGCCACTTGCAGATTCCACAAAAAGAGTGTTTCAAAACTGTTCTGTCTAAAGAAATGTTCAACTGTGTTAGTTGAGGACACACATCAGAAACTAGTTTCTGAGAATGCTTCTGTCTAGTTGTTATGGGAAGATATTTCCTTTTCCAACGTAGGCCTGAAAGCGCTCCAAATGTCCACTTCCATATACTAAAAAAAGAGTGTTTCAAACCTGCTCTACCAAAGGAATGTTCTACTCTGTGACTTGAATGCAAACATCCCAAAGAAGTTTCTGAGAATGCTTCTGTCTAGATTTGATCTGAAGACAATCCCTTTTCCAACGAAATCCTCAAAGCTAGGCAAATATCCTCTTGCAGATTCCAGAAAAAGAGTGTTTCCAAACTGCTCCTTCAAAACGGTGGTTCAATTCTCTTAGTTGAGTACACACATCTCAAATAAGTTTCTGAGAATGCTTCTGCCTAGTTGTTACGGGAAGATATTTCCCTTTCCAACATAGGCCTGAAAGCGCAACAAATGTCCACTTCCAGATACTACAAAAAGAGTGTTTCAAACCTGCTCTACCGAAGGGAATGTTCTACTCTGTGACTTGAATGCAAACATCCCGAAGAAGTTTCTGAGAATGCTTCTGTCTAGATTTTACCTGAAGACAATCCCGTTTCCCACGAAATCCTCAGAGCTATGCAAATATCCTCTTGCAGATTCTACAAAAAGAGTGTTTCGAAACTGCTCTATGAAAAGAAAGGTTCAACTCTGTCAGTAGAGGAAACACATCACCAACAAGTTTCTGAGAATGCTTCTGTCTAGTTGTTATGGGAAGATTTTTCCTTTTTCAACATAGGCCTGAAAGCGCTCCAAATGTCCACTTCCAGATACTACAAAAGGAGTGATCCCAACCTGCTCTATGATAGGGAATGTTCAACTCTGTGTCCTGAATACAAACATCACAAAGATGTTTCTCAGAACGCTGCAGTCTGCAATTTGTATGAATTCCCGCTTCCAACGAAATCCTCAAAACTAGCCAAATATCCACTTGCAGATTCCACAAAAAGAGCATTTCAAAACTACTCTATCAAAAGAAAGGTTCAACTTTGTTAGTTGAGTAGATACAGCATAAACAAGTTTCTGAGAATGCTTCTGTCCAGTTTTTATGGGAAGATATTTCCTTTTTCACCTTAGCCCTGAAAGCGCTCCAAATGTCCAGTTCCAGATACTACAAAAGGGGTGTTTCAAGACTGCTCTATGAAAGGGAGTGTTCAACTTTTGACTTGAATGCAAACATCAGAAAGCAGTTTCTCAGAACGCTGCTGTGTGCTTTTTATATGTATTCCCGCTTCCAGCGAAATCCCCAAAGCTAGCCAAATATCCACTTGCAGATTCCAGAAAAAGAGTGTTTCCAAACTGCTCCTTCAAAACGGTGGTTCAATTCTCTTAGTTGAGTACACACATCTCAAATAAGTTTCTGGGAATGCTTCTGTCTAGTTGTTATGGGAAGATATTTCCTTTTCCAACATAGGCCTGAAAGCGCTCCAAATGTCCACTTCCAGATACTACAAAAGGAGTGATTCAAACCTGCTCTATGATAGGGAATGTTCAACTCTGTGTCCTGAATACAAACATCACAAAGATGTTTCTCAGAACGCTGCAGTCTGCAGTTTGTATGAATTCCCGCTTCCAACGAAATCCTCAAAACTAGCCAAATATCCACTTGCAGATTCCACAAAAAGAGCGTTTCAAAACTTCTCTATGAAAAGAAAGGTTCTACTCCTTTAGTTGAGGACACACATCACGAGTAAGTTTCTGAGAATGCTTCTGTCTAGTTTTTATGGGAAGATATTTCCTTTTTCACCTTAGGCCGGAAAGTGCTCCAAATGTCCACTTACACACACTACAAAAAGAGTGTTTCAAACCTGCTCTGTGAAAGGGAATGTTCAATTCTGTGACTTGAATGCAATCATCACAAAGAAGTTTCTGAGAATGCTGCTGTCTGCTTTTTATATGTAATCCCGTTTCCAACGAAATCCTCAAATCTAGCCAAATAGCCACTTGCAGATTCCACAAAAAGAGTGTTTCAAAACTGTTCTGTCTAAAGAAATGTTCAACTGTGTTAGTTGAGGACACACATCAGAAACTAGTTTCTGAGAATGCTTCTGTCTAGTTGTTATGGGAAGATATTTCCTTTTCCAACGTAGGCCTGAAAGCGCTCCAAATGTCCACTTCCATATACTAAAAAAAGAGTGTTTCAAACCTGCTCTACCAAAGGGAATGTTCTACTCTGTGACTTGAATGCAAACATCCCAAAGAAGTTTCTGAGAATGCTTCTGTCTAGATTTGATCTGAAGACAATCCCGTTTCCAACGAAATCCTCAAGGCTAGGCAAATATCCTCTTGCAGATTCCAGAAAAAGAGTGTTTCAAAACTGCTCCTTCAAAACGGTGGTTCAATTCTCTTAGTTGAGTACACACATCTCAAATAAGTTTCTGAGAATGCTTCTGCCTAGTTGTTACGGGAAGATATTTCCCTTTCCAACATAGGCCTGAAAGCGCTCCAAATGTCCACTTCCAGATACTACAAAAAGAGTGTTTCAAACCTGCTCTACCAAAGGGAATGTTCTACTCTGTGACTTGAATGCAAACATCCCAAAGAAGTTTCTGAGAATGCTTCTGTCTAGATTTTACCAGAAGACAATCCCGTTTCCCACGAAATCCTCAAAGCTATGCAAATATCCTCTTGCAGATTCTACAAAAAGAGTGTTTCAAAACTGCTCTATGAAAAGAAAGGTTCAACTCTGTCAGTAGAGGGCACACATCACAAACAAGTTTCTGAGAATGCTTGTGTCTAGTTGTTATGGGAAGATATTTCCTTTTTCAACATAGGCCTGAAAGCGCTCCAAATGTCCACTTCCAGATACTACAAAAGGAGTGATTCCAACCTGCTCTATGATAGGGAATGTTCATCTCTGTGTCTTGAATACAAACATCACAAAGATGTTTCTCAGAACGCTGCAGTCTGCAATTTGTATGAATTCCCGCTTCCAACGAAATCCTCAAAACTAGCCAAATATCCACTTGCAGATTCCACAAAAAGACCATTTCAAAACTGCTCTATCAAAAGAAAGGTTCAACTTTGTTAGTTGAGTAGATACAGCATAAACAAGTTTCTGAGAATGCTTCTGTCCAGTTTTTATGGGAAGATATTTCCTTTTTCACCTTAGCCCTGAAATCGCTCCAAAAGTCCAGTTCCAGATACTACAAAAGGGGTGTTTCAAGACTGCTCTATGAAAGGGAGTGTTCAACTTTTGACTTGAATGCAAACATCAGAAAGCAGTTTCTCAGAACGCTGCTGTCTGCTTTTTATATGTAATCCCGTTTCCAACGAAATCCTCAAATCTAGCCAAATATCCACTTGCAGATTCCAGAAAAAGAGTGTTTCAAAACTGCTCCTTCAAAACGGTGGTTCAATTCTCTTAGTTGAGTACACACATCTCAAATAAGTTTCTGAGAATGCTTCTGTCTAGTTGTTATGGGAAGATATTTCCTTTTTCAACATAGGCCTGAAAACGCTCCAAATGTCCACTTCCAGATACTACAAAAGGAGTGATTCCAACCTGCTCTATGATAGGGAATGTTCAACTCTGTGTCCTGAATACAAACATCCAAAGATGTTTCTCAGAACGCTGCAGTCTGCAATTTGTATGAATTCCCGCTTCCAACGAAATCCTCAAAACTAGCCAAATATCCACTTGGAGATTCCACAAAAAGAGCGTTTCAAAACTTCTCTATGAATAGAAAGGTTCTATCTTTTAGTTGAGGACACACATCACGAGTAAGTTTCTGAGAATGCTTCTGTCTAGTTTTTATGGGAAGATATTTCCTTTTTCACCTTAGGCCGGAAAGCACTCCAAATGTCCACTTACACACACTACAAAAAGCGTGTTTCAACCCTGCTCTGTGAAAGGGAATGTTCAATTCTGTGACTTGAATGCAATCATCACAAAGAACTTTCTGAGAATGCTGCTGTCTGCTTTTTATATGTAATCCCGTTTCCAACGAAATCCTCAAATCTAGCCCAATATCCACTTGCAGATTCCACAAAAAGAGTGTTTCAAAACTGTTCTGTCTAAAGAAAAGTTCAACTGTGTTAGTTGAGGACACACATCAGAAACTAGTTTCTGAGAATGCTTCTGTCTAGTTGTTATGGGAAGATATTTCCTTTTCCAACGTAGGCCTGAAAGCGCTCCAAATGTCCACTTCCATATACTAAAAAAAGAGTGTTTCAAACCTGCTCTACCAAAGGGAATGTTCTACTCTGTGACTTGAATGCAAACATCCCAAAGAAGTTTCTGAGAATGCTTCTGTCTAGATTTGATCTGAAGACAATCCCGTTTCCAACGAAATCCTCAAGGCTAGGCAAATATCCTCTTGCAGATTCCAGAAAAAGAGTGTTTCAAAACTGCTCCTTCAAAACGGTGGTTCAATTCCCTTAGTTGAGTACACACATCTCAAATAAGTTTCTGAGAATGCTTCTGCCTAGTTGTTACGGGAAGATATTTCCCTTTCCAACATAGGCCTGAAAGCGCTCCAAATGTCCACTTACACACACTACAAAAAGAGTGTTTCAAACCTGCTCTACCAAAGTGAATGTTCTACTCTGTGACTTGAATGCAAACATCCCAAAGAAGTTTCTGAGAATGCTTCTGTCTAGATTTTACCTGAAGACAATCCCGTTTCCCACGAAATCCTCAAAGCTATGCAAATATCCTCTTGCGGATTCTACAAAAAGAGTGTTTCAAAACTGCTCTATGAAAAGAAAGGTTCAACTCTGTCAGTAGAGGGCACACATCACAAACAAGTTTCTGAGAATGCTTCTGCATAGTTGTTACGGGAAGATATTTCCCTTTCCAAAATAGGCCTGAAAGCGCTCCAAATGTCCACTTCCAGATACTACAAAAGGAGTGATTCCAACCTGCTCTATGATAGGGAATGTTCAACTCTCTGTCCTGAATACAAACATCACAAAGATGTTTCTCAGAACGCTGCAGTCTGCAATTTGTATGAATTCCCGCTTCCAACGAAATCCTCCAAACTAACCAAATATCCACTTGCAGACTCCACAAAAAGAGCATTTCAAAACTGCTCTATCAAAAGAAAGGTTCAACTTTGTTAGCTGAGTAGATACAGCATAAACAAGTTTCTGAGAATGCTTCTGTCCAGTTTTTATGGGAAGATATTTCCTTTTTCACCTTAGCCCTGAAAGCACTCCAAATGTCCACTTCCAGATACCACAAAAGGGGAGTTTCAAGACTGCTCTATGAAAGGGAGTGTTCAACTTTTGACTTGAATGCGAACATCAGAAAGAAGTTTCTCAGAACGCTGCTGTGTGCTTTTTATATGTATTCCCGCTTCCAGCGAAATCCCCAAAGCTAGCCAAATATCCACTTGCAGATTCCAGAAAAAGAGTGTTTCAAAACTGCTCCTTCAAAACGGTGGTTCAATTCTCTTAGTTGAGTACACACATCTCAAATAAGTTTCTGAGAATGCTTGTGTCTAGTTGTTATGGGAAGATATTTCCTTTTTCAACATAGGCCTGAAAGCGCTCCAAATGTCCACTTCCAGATACTACAAAAGGAGTGATTCCAACCTGCTCTATGATAGGGAATGTTCATCTCTGTGTCCTGAATACAAACATCACAAAGATGTTTCTCAGAACGCTGCAGTCTGCAATTTGTATGAATTCCCGCTTCCAACGAAATCCTCAAAACTAGCCAAATATCCACTTGGAGATTCCACAAAAAGAGCGTTTCAAAACTTCTCTATGAATAGAAAGGTTCTACTCCTTTAGTTGAGGACACACATCACGAGTAAGTTTCTGAGAATGCTTCTGTCTAGTTTTTATGGGAAGATATTTCCTTTTTCACTTTAGGCCGGAAAGCGCTCCAAATGTCCACTTACACACACTACAAAAAGAGTGTTTCAATCCTGCTCTGTGAAAGGGAATGTTCAATTCTGTGACTTGAATGCAATCATCACAAAGAACTTTCTGAGAATGCTGCTGTCTGCTTTTTATATGTAATCCCGTTTCCAACGAAATCCTCAAATCTAGCCAAATATCCACTTGCAGATTCCACAAAAAGAGTGTTTCAAAACTGTCCTGTCTAAAGAAAAGTTCAACTGTGTTAGTTGAGGACACACATCAGAAACTAGTTTCTGAGAATGCTTCTGTCTAGTTGTTATGGGAAGATATTTCCTTTTCCAACGTAGGCCTGAAAGCGCTCCAAATGTCCACTTCCATATACTAAAAAAAGAGTGTTTCAAACCTGCTCTACCAAAGGGAATATTCTACTCTGTGACTTGAGTGCAAACATCCCAAAGAAGTTTCTGAGAATGCTTCTGTCTAGATTTTATCTGAAGACAATCCCGTTTCCAACGAAATCCTCAAGGCTAGGCAAATATACTCTTGCAGATTCCATAAAAAGAGTGTTTCAAAACTGCTCCTTGAAAACGGTGGTTCAATTCTCTTAGTTGAGTACACACATCTCAAATAAGTTTCTGAGAATGCTTCTGCCTAGTTGTTACGGGAAGATATTTCCCTTTCCAACATGGGCCTGAAAGCGCTCCAAATGTCCACTTCCAGATACTACAAAAAGAGGGTTTCAAACCTGCTCTACCAAAGGGAATGTTCTACTCTGTGACTTGAATGCAAACATCCCAAAGAAGTTTCTGAGAATGCTTCTGTCTAGATTTTACCTGAAGACAATCCCGTTACCCACGAAATCCTCAAAGCTATGCAAATATCCTCTTGCAGATTCTACAAAAAGAGTGTTTCAAAACTGCTCTATGAAAAGAAAGGTTCAACTCTGTCAGTAGAGGGCACACATCACAAACAAGTTTCTGAGAATGCTTGTGACTAGTTGTTATGGGAAGATATTTCCTTTTTCAACATAGGCCTGAAAGCGCTCCAAATGTCCACTTCCAGATACTACAAAAGGAGTGATTCCAACCTGCTCTATGATAGGTAATGTTCATCTCTGTGTCCTGAATACAAACATCACAAAGATGTTTCTCAGAACGCTGCAGTCTGCAATTTGTATGAATTCCCGCTCCCAACGAAATCCTCAAAACTAGCCAAATATCCACTTGCAGATTCCACAAAAAGAGCATTTCAAAACTGCTCTATCAAAAGAAAGGTTCAACTTTGTTAGTTGAGTAGATACAGCATAAACAAGTTTCTGAGAATGCTTCTGTCCAGTTTTTATGGGAAGATATTTCCTTTTTCACCTTAGCCCTGAAAGCGCTCCAAAAGTCCAGTTCCAGATACTACAAAAGGGGTGTTTCAAGACTGCTCTATGAAAGGGAGTGTTCAACTTTTGACTTGAATGCAAACATCAGAAAGCAGTTTCTCAGAACGCTGCTGTGTGCTTTTTATATGTATTCCCGCTTCCAGCGAAATCCCCAAAGCTAGCCAAATATCCACTTGCAGATTCCAGAAAAAGAGTGTTTCAAAACTGCTCCTTCAAAACGGTGGTTCAATTCTCTTAGTTGAGTACACACATCTCAAATAAGTTTCTGAGAATGCTTCTGTCTAGTTGTTATGGGAAGATATTTCCTTTTCCAACATAGGCCTGAAAGCGCTCCAAATGTCCACTTCCAGATACTACAAAAGGAGTGATTCCAACCTGCTCTATGATAGGGAATGTTCAACTCTGTGTCCTGAATACAAACATCACAAAGATGTTTCTCAGAACGCTGCAGTCTGCAATTTGTATGAATTCCCGCTTCCAACGAAATCCTCAAAACTAGCCAAATATCGACTTGCAGATTCCACAAAAAGAGCGTTTCAAAACTTCTCTATGAAAAGAAAGGTTCTACTCCTTTAGTTGAGGACACACATCACGAGTAAGTTTCTGAGAATGCTTCTGTCTAGTTTTTATGGGAAGATACTTCCTTTTTCACCTTAGGCCGGTAAGTGCTCCAAATGTCCACTTACACACACTACAAAAAGAGTGTTTCAAACCTGCTCTGTGAAAGGGAATGTTCAATTCTGTGACTTGAATGCAATCATCACAAAGAACTTTCTGAGAATGCTGCTGAGTGCTTTTTATATGTAATCCCGTTTCCAACGAAATCCTTAAATCTAGCCAAATAGCCACTTGCAGATTCCACAAAAAGAGTGTTTCAAAACTGTTCTGTCTAAAGAAATGTTCAACTGTGTTAGTTGAGGACACACATCAGAAACTAGTTTCTGAGAATGCTTCTGTCTAGTTGTTATGGGAAGATATTTCCTTTTCCAACGTAGGCCTGGAAGCGCTCCAAATGTCCACTTCCATATACTAAAAAAAGAGTGTTTCAAACCTGCTCTACTAAAGGGAATGTTCTACTCTGTGACTTGAATGCAAACATCCCAAAGAAGTTTCTGAGAATGCTTCTGTCTAGATTTTATCTGAAGACAATCCCGTTTCCAACGAAATCCTCAAGGCTAGGCAAATATACTCTTGCAGATTCCAGAAAAAGAGTGTTTCAAAACTGCTCCTTCAAAACGGTGGTTCAATTCTCTTAGTTGAGTACACACATCTCAAATAAGTTTCTGAGAATGCTTCTGCCTAGTTGTTACGGGAAGATATTTCCCTTTGCAACATGGGCCAGAAAGCGCTCCAAATGTCCACTTCCAGATACTACAAAAAGAGGGTTTCAAACCTGCTCTACCAAAGGGAATGTTCTACTCTGTGACTTGAATGTAAACATCCCAAAGAAGTTTCTGAGAATGCTTCTGTCTAGATTTTACCTGAAGACAATCCCGTTTCCCACGAAATCCTCAAAGCTATGCAAATATCCTCTTGCAGATTCTACAAAAAGAGTGTTTCAAAACTGCTCTATGAAAAGAAAGGTTCAACTCTGTCAGTAGAGGGCACACATCACAAACAAGTTTCTGAGAATGCTTGTGTCTAGTTGTTATGGGAAAATATTTCCTTTTTCAACATAGGCCTGAAAGCGCTCCAAATGTCCACTTCCAGATACTACAAAAGGAGTGATTCCAACCTGCTCTATGATAGGGAATGTTCATCTCTGTGTCCTGAATACAAACATCACAAAGATGTTTCTCAGAACGCTGCAGTCTGCAATTTGCATGAATTCCAGCTTCCAACGAAATCCTCAAAACTAGCCAAATATCCACTTGCAGATTCCACAAAAAGAGCATTTCAAAACTGCTCTATCAAAAGAAAGGTTCAACTTTGTTAGTAGAGTAGATACAGCATAAACAAGTTTCTGAGAATGCTTCTGTCCAGTTTTTATGGGAAGATATTTCCTTTTTCACCTTAGCCCTGAAATCGCTCCAAAAGTCCAGTTCCAGATACTACAAAAGGGGTGTTTCAAGACTGCTCTATGAAAGGGAGTGTTCAACTTTTGACTTGAATGCAAACATCAGAAAGCAGTTTCTCAGAACGCTGCTGTGTGCTTTTTATATGTATTCCCGCTTCCAGCGAAATCCCCAAAGCTAGCCAAATATCCACTTGCAGATTCCAGAAAAAGAGTGTTTCCAAACTGCTCCTTCAAAACGGTGGTTCAATTCTCATAGTTGAGTACACACATCTCAAATAAGTTTTTGGGAATGCTTCTGTCTAGTTGTTATGGGAAGATATTTCCTTTTCCAACATAGGCCTGAAAGCGCTCCAAATGTCCACTTCCAGATACTACAAAAGGAGTGATTCAAACCTGCTCTATGATAGGGAATGTTCAACTCTGTGTCCTGAATACAAACATCACAAAGATGTTTCTCAGAACGCTGCAGTCTGCATCTTGTATGAATTCCCGCTTCCAACGAAATCCTCCAAACTAGCCAAATATCCACTTGCAGATTCCACAAAAAGAGCGTTTCAAAACTTCTCTATGAAAAGAAAGGTTCTACTCCTTTAGTTGAGGACACACATCACGAGTAAGTTTCTGAGAATGCTTCTGTCTAGTTTTTATGGGAAGATATTTCCTTGTTCACCTTAGGCCGGAAAGCGCTCCAAATGTCCACTTACACACACTACAAAAAGAGTGTTTCAAACCTGCTCTGTGAAAGGGAATGTTCAATTCTGTGACTTGAATGCAATCATCACAAAGAAGTTTCTGAGAATGCTGCTGTCTGCTTTTTATATGTAATCCCGTTTCCAACGAAATCCTCAAATCTAGCCAAATATCCACTTGCAGATTCCACAAAAAGAGTGTTTCAAAACTGTTCTGTCTAAAGAAATGTTCAACTGTGTTAGTTGAGGACACACATCAGAAACTAGTTTCTGAGAATGCTTCTGTCTAGTTGTTATGGGAAGATATTTCCTTTTCCAACGTAGGCCTGAAAGCGCTCCAAATGTCCACTTCCAGATACTAAAAAAAGAGTGTTTCAAACCTGCTCTACCAAAGAGAATGTTCTACTCTGTGACTTGAATGCAAACATCCCAAAGAAGTTTCTGAGAATGCTTCTGTCTAGATTTTATCTGAAGACAATCCCGTTTCCAACGAAATCCTCAAGGCTAGGCAAATATACTCTTGCAGATTCCAGAAAAAGAGTGTTTCAAAACTGCTCCTTCAAAACGGTGGTTCAATTCTCTTAGTTGAGTACACACATCTCAAATAAGTTTCTGAGAATGCTTCTGCCTAGTTGTTACGGGAAGATATTTCCCTTTCCAACATGGGCCTGAAAGCGCTCCAAATGTCCACTTCCAGATACTACAAAAAGAGTGTTTCAAACCTGCTCTACCAAAGGGAATGTTCTACTCTGTGTCTTGAATGCAAACATCCCAAAGAAGTTTCTGAGAATGCTTCTGTCTAGATTTTACCTGAAGACAATCCCGTTTCCCAAGAAATCCTCAAAGCTATGCAAATATCCTCTTGCAGATTCTACAAAAAGAGTGTTTCGAAACTGCTCTATGAAAAGAAAGGTTCAACTCTGTCAGTAGAGGGCACACATCAAAAATAAGTTTCTGAGAATGCTTCTGTCTAGTTGTTATGGGAAGATATTTCCTTTTCCAACATAGGCCTGAAAGCGCTCCAAATGTCCACTTCCAGATACTACAAAAGGAGTGATTCAAACCTGCTCTATGATAGGGAATGTTCAACTCTGTGTCCTGAATACAAACATCACAAAGATGTTTCTCAGAACGCTGCAGTCTGCAATTTGTATGAATTCCCGCTTCCAACAAAATCCTCAAAACTAGCCAAATATCCACTTGCAGATTCCACAAAAAGAGCGTTTCAAAACTTCTCTATGAAAAGAAAGGTTCTACTCCTTTAGTTGAGGACACACATCACGAGTAAGTTTCTGAGAATGCTTCTGTCTAGTTTTTATGGGAAGATATTTCCTTTTTCACCTTAGGCCGGAAAGCGCTCCAAATGTCCACTTACACACACTACAAAAAGAGTGTTTCAAACCTCCTCTGTGAAAGGGAATGTTCAATTCTGTGATTTGAATGCAATCATCACAAAGAACTTTCTGAGAATGCTGCTGTCTGCTTTTTATATGTAATCCCGTTTCCAACGAAATCCTCAAATCTAGCCAAATAGCCACTTGCAGATTCCACAAAAAGAGTGTTTCAAAACTGTTCTGTCTAAAGAAATGTTCAACTGTGTTAGTTGAGGACACACATCAGAAACTAGTTTCTGAGAATGCTTCTGTCTAGTTGTTATGGGAAGATATTTCCTTTTCCAACGTAGGCCTGAAAGCGCTCCAAATGTCCACTTCCATATACTAAAAAAAGAGTGTTTCAAACCTGCTGTACCAAAGGGAATGTTCTACTCTGTGACTTGAATGCAAACATCCCAAAGAAGTTTCTGAGAATGCTTCTGTCTAGATTTGATCTAAAGACAATCCCTTTTCCAACGAAATCCTCAAGGCTAGGCAAATATACTCTTGCAGATTCCAGAAAAAGAGTGTTTCAAAACTGCTCCTTCAAAACGGTGATTCAATTCTCTTAGTTGAGTACACACATCTCAAATAAGTTTCTGAGAATGCTTCTGCCTAGTTGTTACGGGAAGATATTTCCCTTTCCAACATAGGCCTGAAAGCGCTCCAAATGTCCACTTCCAGATACTACAAAAAGAGTGTTTCAAACCTGCTCTACCAAAGGGAATGTTCTACTCTGTGACTTGAATGCAAACATCCCAAAGAAGTTTCTGAGAATGCTTCTGTCTAGATTTTACCTGAAGACAATCCCGTTTCCCACGAAATCCTCAAAGCTATGCAAATATCCTCTTGCGGATTCTACAAAAAGAGTGTTTCAAAACTGCTCTATGAAAAGAAAGGTTCAACTCTGTCAGTAGAGGGCACACATCACAAACAAGTTTCTGAGAATGCTTGTGTCTAGTTGTTATGGGAAGATATTTCCTTTTTCAACATAGGCCTGAAAGCGCTCCAAATGTCCACTTCCACATACTACAAAAGGAGTGATTCCAACCTGCTCTATGATAGGGAATGTTCATCTCTGTGTCCTGAATACAAACATCACAAAGATGTTTCTCAGAACGCTGCAGTCTGCAATTTGTATGAATTCCCGCTTCCAACGAAATCCTCAAAACTAGCCAAATATCCACTTGGAGATTCCACAAAAAGAGCGTTTCAAAACTTCTCTATGAATAGAAAGGTTCTACTCCTTTAGTTGAGGACACACATCACGAGTAAGTTTCTGAGAATGCTTCTGTCTAGTTTTTATGGGAAGATATGTCCTTTTTCACCTTAGGCCGGAAAGCGCTCCAAATGTCCACTTACACACACTACAAAAAGAGTGTTTCAAACCTGCTCTGTGAAAGGGAATGTTCAATTCTGTGACTTGAATGCAATCATCACAAAGAACTTTCTGAGAATGCTGCTGACTGCTTTTTATATGTAATCCCGTTTCCAACGAAATCCTCAAATCTAGCCCAGTATCCACTTGCAGATTCCACAAAAAGAGTGTTTCAAAACTGTTCTGTCTAAAGAAATGTACAACAGTGTTAGTTGAGGACACACATCAGAAACTAGTTTCTGAGAATGCTTCTGTCTAGTTGTTATGGGAAGATATTTCCTTTTCCAACGTAGGCCTGAAAGCGCTCCAAATGTCCACTTCCATATACTAAAAAAAGAGTGTTTCAAACCTGCTCTACCAAAGGGAATGTTCTACTCTGTGACTTGAATGCAAACATCCCAAAGAAGTTTCTGAGAATGCTTCTGTCTAGATTTGATCTGAAGACAATCCCGTTTCCAACGAAATCCTCAAGGCTAGGCAAATATCCTCTTCCAGATTCCAGAAAAAGAGTGTTTCAAAACTGCTCCTTCAAAACGGTGGTTCAATTCTCTTAGTTGAGTACACACATCTCAAATAAGTTTCTGAGAATGCTTCTGCCTAGTTGTTACCGGAAGATATTTCCCTTTCCAACATAGGCCTGAAAGCGCTCCAAATGTCCACTTCCAGATACTACAAAAAGAGTGTTTCAAACCTGCTCTACCAAAGGGAATGTTCTACTCTGTGACTTGAATGCAAACATCCCAAAGAAGTTTCTGAGAATGCTTCTGTCTAGATTTTACCTGAAGACAATCCCGTTTCCCACGAAATCCTCAAAGCTATGCAAATATCCTCTTGCAGATTCTACAAAAAGAGTGTTTCAAAACTGCTCTATGAAAAGAAAGGTTCAACTCTGTCAGTAGAGGGCACACATCACAAACAAGTTTCTGAGAATGCTTCTGCATAGTTGTTACGGGAAGATATTTCCCTTTCCAAAATAGGCCTGAAAGCGCTCCAAATGTCCACTTCCAGATACTACAAAAGGAGTGATTCCAACCTGCTCTATGATAGGGAATGTTCAACTCTGTGTCCTGAATACAAACATCACAAAGATGTTTCTCAGAACGCTGCAGTCTGCAATTTGTATGAATTCCAGCTTCCAACGAAATCCTCAAAACTAGCCAAATATCCACTTGCAGATTCCACAAAAAGAGCATTTCAAAACTGCTCTATCAAAAGAAAGGTTCAACTTTGTTAGTTGAGTAGATACAGCATAAACATGTTTCTGAGAATGCTTCTGTCCAGTTTTTATGGGAAGATATTTCCTTTTTCACCTTAGCCCTGAAAGCGCTCCAAAAGTCCAGTTCCAGATACTACAAAAGGAGTGTTTCAGGACTGCTCTATGAAAGGGAGTGTTCAACTTTTGACTTGAATGCAAACATCAGAAAGCAGTTTCTCAGAACGCTGCTGTGTGCTTTTTATATGTATTCCCGCCTCCAGCGAAATCCCCAAAGCTAGCCAAATATCCACTTGCAGATTCCAGAAAAAGAGTGTTTCAAAACTGCTCCTTCAAAACGGTGGTTCAATTCTCTTAGTTGAGTACACACATCTCAAATAAGTTTCTGAGAATGCTTCTGTCTAGTTGTTATGGGAAGATATTTCCTTTTCCAACATAGGCCTGAAAGCGCTCCAAATGTCCACTTCCAGATACTACAAAAGGAGTGATTCAAACCTGCTCTATGATAGGGAATGTTCAACTCTGTGTCCTGAATACAAACATCACAAAGATGTTTCTCAGAACGCTGCAGTCTGCAATTTGTATGAATTCCCGCTTCCAACGAAATCCTCAAAACTAGACAAATATCCACTTGCAGATTCCACAAAAAGAGCGTTTCAAAACTTCTCTATGAAAACAAAGGTTCTACTCCTTTAGTTGAGGACACACATCACGAGTAAGTTTCTGAGAATGCTTCTGTCTAGTTTTTATGGGAAGATATTTCCTTTTTCACCTTAGGCCGGAAAGTGCTCCAAATGTCCACTTACACACACTACAAAAAGAGTGTTTCAAACCTGCTCTGTGAAAGGGAATGTTCAATTCTGTGACTTGAATGCAATCATCACAAAGAACTTTCTGAGAATGCTGCTGTCTGCTTTTTATATGTAATCCCGTTTCCAACGAAATCCTCAAATCTAGCCAAATAGCCACTTGCAGATTCCACAAAAAGAGTGTTTCAAAACTGTTCTGTCTAAAGAAATGTTCAACTGTGTTAGTTGAGGACACACATCAGAAACTAGTTTCTGAGAATGCTTCTGTCTAGTTGTTATGGGAAGATATTTCCTTTTCCAACGTAGGCCTGAAAGCGCTCCAAATGTCCACTTCCATATACTAAAAAAAGAGTGTTTCAAACCTGCTCTACCAAAGGGAATGTTCTACTCTGTGACTTGAATGCAAACATCCCAAAGAAGTTTCTGAGAATGCTTCTGTCTAGATTTGATCTGTAGACAATCCCGTTTCCAACGAAATCCTCAAGGCTAGGCAAATATCCTCTTGCAGATTCCAGAAAAAGAGTGTTTCAAAACTGCTCCTTCAAAACGGTGGTTCAATTCTCTTAGTTGAGTACACACATCTCAAATAAGTTTCTGAGAATGCTTCTGCCTAGTTGTTACGGGAAGATATTTCCCTTTCCAGCATGGGCCTGAAAGCGCTCCAAATGTCCACTTCCAGATACTACAAAAAGAGTGTTTCAAACCTGCTCTACCAAAGGGAATGTTCTACTCTGTGACTTGAATGCAAACATCCCAAAGAAGTTTCTGAGAATGCTTCTGTCTAGATTTTACCTGAAGACAATCCCGTTTCCCACGAAATCCTCAAAGCTATGCAAATATCCTCTTGCAGATTCTACAAAAAGAGTGTTTCAAAACTGCTCTATGAAAAGAAAGGTTCAACTCTGTCAGTAGAGGGCACACATCACAAACAAGTTTCTGAGAATGCTTCTGTCTAGTTGTTATGGGAAGATATTTCCTTTTCCAACATAGGCCTGAAAGCACTCCAAATGTCCACTTCCAGATACTACAAAAGGAGTGATTCCAACCTGCTCTATGATAGGGAATGTTCAACTCTGTGTCTTGAATACAAACATCACAAAGATGTTTCTCAGAACGCTGCAGTCTGCAATTTGTATGAATTCCCGCTTCCAACGAAATCCTCAAAACTAGCCAAATATCCACTTGCAGATTCCACAAAAAGAGCATTTCAAAACTGCTCTATCAAAAGAAAGGTTCAACTTTGTTAGTTGAGTAGATACAGCATAAACAAGTTTCTGAGAATGCTTCTGTCCAGTTTTTATGGGAAGATATTTCCTTTTTCACCTTAGCACTGAAAGCGCTCCAAAAGTCCAGTTCCAGATACTACAAAAGGAGTGTTTCAGGACTGCTCTATGAAAGGGAGTGTTCAACTTTTGACTTGAATGCAAACATCAGAAAGCAGTTTCTCAGAACGCTGCTGTGTGCTTTTTATATGTATTCCCGCCTCCAGCGAAATCCCCAAAGCTAGCCAAATATCCACTTGCAGATTCCAGAAAAAGAGTGTTTCAAAACTGCTCCTTCAAAACGGTGGTTCAATTCTCTTAGTTGAGTACACACATCTCAAATAAGTTTCTGAGAATGCTTGTGTCTAGTTGTTATGGGAAGATATTTCCTTTTTCAACATAGGCCTGAAAGCGCTCCAAATGTCCACTTCCAGATACTACAAAGGGAGTGATTCCAACCTGCTCTATGATAGGGAATGTTCATCTCTGTGTCCTGAATAGAAACATCACAAAGATGTTTCTCAGAACGCTGCAGTCTGCAATTTTTATGAATTCCCGCTTCCAACGAAATCCTCAAAACTAGCCAAATATCCACTTGGAGATTCCACAAAAAGAGCGTTTCAAAACTTCTCTATGAATAGAAAGGTTCTACTCCTTTAGTTGAGGACACACATCACGAGTAAGTTTCTGAGAATGCTTCTGTCTAGTTTTTATGGGAAGATATTTCCTTTTTCACCTTAGGCCGGAAAGCGCTCCAAATGTCCACTTACACACACTACAAAAAGAGTGTTTCAAACCTGCTCTGTGAAAGGGAATGTTCAATTCTGTGACTTGAATGCAATCATCACAAAGAACTTTCTGAGAATGCTGCTGTCTGCTTTTTATATGTAATCCCGTTTCCAACGAAATCCTCAAATCTAGCCAAATATCCACTTGCAGATTCCACAAAAAGAGTGTTTCGAAACTGTTCTGTCTAAAGAAATGTACAACTGTGTTAGTTGAGGACACACATCAGAAACTAGTTTCTGAGAATGCTTCTGTCTAGTTGTTATGGGAAGATATTTCCTTTTCCAACGTAGGCCTGAAAGCGCTCCAAATGTCCACTTCCATATACTAAAAAAAGAGTGTTTCAAACCTGCTCTACCAAAGGGAATATTCTACTCTGTGACTTGAATGCAAACATCCCAAAGAAGTTTCTGAGAATGCTTCTGTCTAGATTTTATCTGAAGACAATCCCGTTTCCAACGAAATCCTCAAGGCTAGGCAAATATACTCTTGCAGATTCCAGAAAAAGAGGGTTTCAAAACTGCTCCTTCAAAACGGTGGTTCAATTCTCTTAGTTGAGTACACACATCTCAAAAACGTTTCTGAGAATGCTTCTGCCTAGTTGTTACGGGAAGATATTTCCCTTTCCAACATAGGCCTGAAAGCGCTCCAAATGTCCACTTCCAGATACTACAAAAAGAGTGTTTCAAACCTGCTCTACCAAAGGGAATGTTCTACTCTGTGACTTGAATGCAAACATCCCAAAGAAGTTTCTGAGAATGCTTCTGTCTAGTATTTTACCTGAAGACAATCCCGTTTCCCACGAAATCCTCAAAGCTATGCAAATATCCTCTTGCGGATTCTACAAAAAGAGTGTTTCAAAACTGCTCTATGAAAAGAAAGGTTCAACTCTGTCAGTAGAGGGCACACATCACAAACAAGTTTCTGAGAATGCTTGTGTCTAGTTTTTATGGGAAGATATTTCCTTTTTCAACATAGGCCTGAAAGCGCTCCAAATGTCCACTTCCAGATACTACAAAAGGAGTGATTCCAACATGCTCTATGATAGGGAATGTTCATCTCTGTGTCTTGAATACAAACATCACAAAGATGTTTCTCAGAACGCTGCAGTCTGCAATTTGTATGAATTCCCGCTTCCAACGAAATCCTCAACACTAGCCAAATATCCACTTGGAGATTCCACAAAAAGAGCGTTTCAAAACTTCTCTATGAATAGAAAGGTTCTACTCCTTTAGTTGAGGACACACATCACGAGTAAGTTTCTGAGAATGCTTCTGTCTAGTTTTTATGGGAAGATATGTCCTTTTTCACCTTAGGCCGGAAAGCGCTCCAAATGTCCACTTACACACACTACAAAAAGAGTGTTTCAAACCTGCTCTGTGAAAGGGAATGTTCAATTCTGTGACTTGAATGCAATCATCACAAAGAACTTTCTGAGAATGCTGCTGACTGCTTTTTATATGTAATCCCGTTTCCAACGAAATCCTCAAATCTAGCCAAATAGCCACTTGCAGATTCCACAAAAAGAGTGTTTCAAAACTGTTCTGTCTAAAGAAATGTTCAACTGTGTTAGTTGAGGACACACATCAGAAACTAGTTTCTGAGAATGCTTCTGTCTAGTTGTTATGGGAAGATATTTCCTTTTCCAACGTAGGCCTGAAAGCGCTCCAAATGTCCACTTCCAGATACTACAAAAAGAGTGTTTCAAACCTGCTCTACCAAAGGGAATGTTCTACTCTGTGACTTGATTGCAAACATCCCAAAGAAGTTTCTGAGAATACTTCTGTCTAGATTTTCTCTGAAGACAATCCCGTTTCCAACGAAATCCTCAAGGCTAGGCAAATATACTCTTGCAGATTCCAGAAAAAGAGTGTTTCAAAACTGCTCCTTCAAAACGGTGGTTCAATTCTCTTAGTTGAGTACACACATCTCAAATAAGTTTCTGAGAATGCTTCTGCCTAGTTGTTACGGGAAGATATTTCCCTTTCCAACATAGGCCTGAAAGCGCTCCAAATGTCCACTTCCAGATAATACAAAAAGAGTGTTTCAAACCTGCTCTACCAAAGGGAATGTTCTACTCTGTGACTTGAATGCAAACATCCCAAAGAAGTTTCTGAGAATGCTTCTGTCTAGATTTTACCTGAAGACAATCCCGTTTCCCACGAAATCCTCAAAGCTATGCAAATATCCTCTTGCAGATTCTACAAAAAGAGCGTTTCAAAACTTCTCTATGAAAAGAAAGGTTCTACTCATTTAGTGGAGGACACACATCACGAGTAAGTTTCTGAGAATGCTTGTGTCTAGTTGTTATGGGAAGATATTTCCTTTTTCACCTTAGGCCGGAAAGTGCTCCAAATGTCCACTTCCAGATACTACAAAAGGAGTGATTCCAACCTGCTCTATGATAGGGAATGTTCAACTCTCTGTCCTGAATACAAACATCACAAAGATGTTTCTCAGAACGCTGCAGTCTGCAATTTGTATGAATTCCCGCTTCCAACGAAATCCTCAAAACTAGCCAAATATCCACTTGCAGATTCCACAAAAAGACCATTTCAAAACTGCTCTATCAAAAGAAAGGTTCAACTTTGTTAGTTGAGTAGATACAGCATAAACAAGTTTCTGAGAATGCTTCTGTCCAGTTTTTATGGGAAGATATTTCCTTTTTCACCTTAGCCCTGAAATCGCTCCAAAAGTCCAGTTCCAGATACTACAAAACGGGTGTTTCAAGACTGCTCTATGAAAGGGAGTGTTCAACTTTTGACTTGAATGCAAACATCAGAAAGCAGTTTCTCAGAACGGCTGCTGTGTGCTTTTTATATGTATTCCCGCTTCCAGCGAAATCCCCAAAGCTAGCCAAATATCCACTTGCAGATTCCAGAAAAAGAGAGTTTCAAAACTGCTCCTTCAAAACGGTGGTTCAATTCTCTTAGTTGAGTACACACATCTCAAATAAGTTTCTGAGAATGCTTGTGTCTAGTTGTTATGGGAAGATATTTCCTTTTTCAACATAGGCCTGAAAGCGCTCCAAATGTCCACTTCCAGATACTACAAAAGGAGTGATTCCAACATGCTCTATGATAGGGAATGTTCATCTCTGTGTCCTGAATACAAACATCACAAAGATGTTTCTCAGAACGCTGCAGTCTGCAATTTGTATGAATTCCCGCTTCCAACGAAATCCTCAAAACTAGCCAAATATCCACTTGGAGATTCCACAAAAAGAGCGTTTCAAAACTTCTCTATGAATAGAAAGGTTCTACTCCTTTAGTTGAGGACACACATCACGAGTAAGTTTCTGAGAATGCTTCTGTCTAGTTTTTATGGGAAGATATGTCCTTTTTCACCTTAGGCCGGAAAGCGCTCCAAATGTCCACTTACACACACTACAAAAAGAGTGTTTCAAACCTGCTCTGTGAAAGGGAATGTTCAATTCTGTGACTTGAATGCAATCATCACAAAGAACTTTCTGAGAATGCTGCTGTCTGCTTTTTATATGTAATCCCGTTTCCAACGAAATCCTCAAATCTAGCCCAATATCCACTTGCAGATTCCACAAAAAGAGTGTTTCAAAACTGTTCTGTCTAAAGAAAAGTTCAACTGTGTTAGTTGAGGACACACATCAGAAACTAGTTTCTGAGAATGCTTCTGTCTAGTTGTTATGGGAAGATATTTCCTTTTCCAACGTAGGCCTGAAAGCGCTCCAAATGTCCACTTCCATATACTAAAAAAAGAGTGTTTCAAACCTGCTCTACCAAAGGGAATGTTCTACTCTGTGACTTGAATGCAAACATCCCAAAGAAGTTTCTGAGAATGCTTCTGTCTAGATTTGATCTGAAGACAATCCCGTTTCCAACGAAATCCTCAAGGCTAGGCAAATATCCTCTTGCAGATTCCAGAGAAAGAGTGTTTCAAAACTGCTCCTTGAAAACGGTGGTTCAATTCTCTTAGTTGAGTACACACATCTCAAATAACTTTCTGAGAATGCTTCTGCCTAGTTGTTACGTGAAGATATTTCCCTTTCCAACATACGCCTGAAAGCGCTCCAAATGTCCACTTCCAGATACTACAAAAAGAGTGTTTCAAACCTGCTCTACCAAAGGGAATGTTCTGCTCTGTGACTTGAATGCAAACATCCCAAAGAAGTTTCTGAGAATGCTTCTGTCTAGATTTTACCTGAAGACAATCCCGTTTCCCACGAAATCCTCAAAGCTATGCAAATATCCTCTTGCGGATTCTACAAAAAGAGTGTTTCAAAACTGCTCTATGAAAAGAAAGGTTCAACTCTGTCAGTAGAGGGCACACATCACAAACAAGTTTCTGAGAATGCTTGTGTCTAGTTGGCATGGGACGATATTTCCTTTTTCAACATAGGCCTGAAAGCGCTCCAAATGTCCACTTCCAGATACTACAAAAGGAGTGATTCCAACATGCTCTATGATAGGGAATGTTCATCTCTGTGTCTTGAATACAAACATCACAAAGATGTTTCTCAGAACGCTGCAGTCTGCAATTTGTATGAATTCCCGCTTCCAACAAAATCCTCAAAACTAGCCAAATATCCACTTGCAGATTCCACAAAAAGAGCATTTCAAAACTGCTCTATCAAAAGAAAGGTTCAACTTTGTTAGTTGAGTAGATACAGCATAAACAAGTTTCTGAGAATGCTTCTGTCCAGTTTTTATGGGAAGATATTTCCTTTTTCACCTTAGCCCTGAAAGCGCTCCAAATTTCCAGTTCCAGATACTACAAAAGGGGTGTTTCAAGACTGCTCTATGAAAGGGAGTGTTCAACTTTTGACTTGAATGCAAACATCAGAAAGCAGTTTCTCAGAACGCTGCTGTGTGCTTTTTATATGTATTCCCGCTTCCAGCGAAATCCCCAAAGCTAGCCAAATATCCACTTGCAGATTCCAGAAAAAGAGTGTTTCCAAACTGCTCCTTCAAAACGGTGGTTCAATTCTCTTAGTTGAGTACACACATCTCAAATAAGTTTCTGGGAAAGCTTCTGTCTAGTTGTTATGGGAAGATATTTCCTTTTCCAACATAGGCCTGAAAGCGCTCCAAATGTCCACTTCCAGATACTACAAAAGGAGTGATTCAAACCTGCTCTATGATAGGGAATGTTCAACTCTGTGTCCTGAATACAAACATCACAAAGATGTTTCTCAGAACGCTGCAGTCTGCAATTTGTATGAATTCCCGCTTCCAACGAAATCCTCAAAACTAGCCAAATATCCACTTGCAGATTCCACAAAAAGAGGGTTTCAAAACTTCTCTATGAAAAGAAAGGTTCTACTCCTTTAGTTGAGGACACACATCACGAGTAAGTTTCTGAGAATGCTTCTGTCTAGTTTTTATGGGAAGATATTTCCTTTTTCACCTTAGGCCGGAAAGTGCTCCAAATGTCCACTTACACACACTACAAAAAGAGTGTTTCAAACCTGCTCTGTGAAAGGGAATGTTCAATTCTGTGACTTGAATGCAATCATCACAAAGAAGTTTCTGAGAATGCTGCTGTCTGCTTTTTATACGTAATCCCGTTTCCAACGAAATCCTCAAATCTAGCCAAATATCCACTTGCAGATTCCACAAAGAGAGTGTTTCAAAACTGTTCTGTCTAAAGAAATGTTCACTTGTGTTCGTTGAGGACACACATCAGAAACTAGTTTCTGAGAATGCTTCTGTCTAGTTGTTATGGGAAGATATTTCCTTTTCCAACGTAGGCCTGAAAGCGCTCCAAATGTCCACTTCCATATACTAAAAAAAGAGTGTTTAAAACCTGCTCTACCAAAGGGAATGTTCTACTCTGTGACTTGAATGCAAACATCCCAAAGAAGTTTCTGAGAATGCTTCTGTCTAGATTTGATCTGAAGACAATCCCGTTTCCAACGAAACCCTCAAATCTAGCCAAATATCCACTTGCAGATTCCACAAAAAGAGTGTTTCAAAACTGTTCTGTCTAAAGAAATGTTCACCTGTGTTAGTTGAGGACACACATCAGAAACTAGTTTCTGAGAATGCTTCTGCCTAGTTGTTACGGGAAGATATTTCCCTTTCCAACATAGGCCTGAAAGCGCTCCAAATGTCCACTTCCAGATACTACAAAAAGAGTGTTTCAAACCTGCTCTAACAAAGGGAATGTTCTACTCTGTGACTTGAATGCAAACATCCCGAGGAATTTTCTGAGAATGCTTCTGTCTAGATTTTACCTGAAGACAATCCCGTTTCCCACGAAATCCTCAAAGCTATGCAAATATCCTCTTGCAGATTCTACAAAAAGAGTGTTTCAAAACTGCTCTATGAAAAGAAAGGTTCAACTCTGTCAGTAGAGGGCACACATCACAAACAAGTTTCTGAGAATGCTTGTGTCTAGTTGTTATGGGAAGATATTTCCTTTTTCAACATAGGCCTGAAAGCGCTCCAAATGTCCACTTCCAGAAACTACAAAAGGAGTGATTCCAACCTGCTCTATGATAGGGAATGTTCAACTCTCTGTCCTGAATACAAACATCACAAAGATGTTTCTCAGAACGCTGCAGTCTGCAATTTGTATGAATTCCCGCTTCCAACGAAATCCTCAAAACTAGCCAAATATCCACTTGCAGATTCCACAAAAAGAGCATTTCAAAACTGCTCTATCAAAAGAAAGGTTCAACTTTGTTAGTTGAGTAGATACAGCATAAACAAGTTTCTGAGAATGCTTCTGTCCAGTTTTTATGGGAAGATATTTCCTTTTTCACCTTAGCCCTGAAAGCGCTCCAAAAGTCCAGTTCCAGATACTACAAAAGGAGTGTTTCAGGACTGCACTATGAAAGGGAGTGTTCAACTTTTGACTTGAATGCAAACATCAGAAAGCAGTTTCTCAGAACGCTGCTGTGTGCTTTTTATATGTATTCCCGCTTCCAGCGAAATCCCCAAAGCTAGCCAAATATCCACTTGCAGATTCCAGAAAAAGAGTGTTTCAAAACTGCTCCTTCAAAACGGTGGTTCAATTCTCTTAGTTGAGTACACACATCTCAAATAAGTTTCTGAGAATGCTTCTGTCTAGTTGTTATGGGAAGATATTTCCTTTTCCAACATAGGCCTGAAAGCGCTCCAAATGTCCACTTCCAGATACTACAAAAGGAGTGATTCCAACCTGCTCTATGATAGGGAATGTTCAACTCTGTGTCCTGAATACAAACATCACAAAGATGTTTCTCAGAACGCTGCAGTCTGCAATTTGTATGAATTCCCGCTTCCAACGAAATCCTCAAAACTAGCCAAATATCCACTTGCAGATTCCACAAAAAGACCATTTCAAAACTGCTCTATCAAAAGAAAGGTTCAACTTTGTTAGTTGAGTAGATACAGCATAACCAAGTTTCTGAGAATGCTTCTGTCCAGTTTTTATGGGAAGATATTTCCTTTTTCACCTTAGCCCTGAAATCGCTCCAAAAGTCCAGTTCCAGATACTACAAAAGGGGTGTTTCAGGACTGCTCTATGAAAGGGAGTGTTCAACTTTTGACTTGAATGCAAACATCAGAAAGCAGTTTCTCAGAACGCTGCTGTGTGCTTTTTATATGTATTCCCGCTTCCAGCGAAATCCCCAAAGCTAGCCAAATATCCACTTGCAGATTCCAGAAAAAGAGTGTTTCAAAACTGCTCCTTCAAAACGGTGGTTCAATTCTCTTAGTTGAGTACACACATCTCAAATAAGTTTCTGAGAATGCTTCTGTCTAGTTGTTATGGGAAGATATTTCCTTTTCCAACATAGGCCTGAAAGCGCTCCAAATGTCCACTTCCAGATACTACAAAAGGAGTGATTCAAACCTGCTCTATGATAGGGAATGTTCAACTCTGTGTCCTGAATACAAACATCACAACGATGTTTCTCAGAACGCTGCAGTCTGCAATTTGTATGAATTCCCGCTTCCAACGAAATCCTCAAAACTAGCCAAATATCCACTTGGAGATTCCACAAAAAGAGCGTTTCAAAACTTCTCTATGAATAGAAAGTTTCTACTCCTTTAGTTGAGGACACACATCACGAGTAAGTTTCTGAGAATGCTTCTGTCTGGTTTTTATGGTAAGATATGTCCTTTTTCACCTTAGGCCGGAAAGCGCTCCAAATGTCCACTTACACACACTACAAAAAGAGTGTTTCAAACCTGCTCTGTGAAAGGGAATGTTCAATTCTGTGACTTGAATGCAATCATCACAAAGAACTTTCTGAGAATGCTGCTGACTGCTTTTTATATGTAATCCCGTTTCCAACGAAATCCTCAAATCTAGCCCAATATCCACTTGCAGATTCCACAAAAAGAGTGTTTCAAAACTGTTCTGTCTAAAGAAATGTACAACTGTGTTAGTTGAGGACACAAATCAGAAACTAGTTTCTGAGAATGCTTCTGTCTAGTTGTTATGGGAAGATATTTCCTTTTCCAACGTAGGCCTGAAAGCGCTCCAAATGTCCACTTCCATATACTAAAAAAAGAGTGTTTCAAACCTGCTCTACCAAAGGGAATGTTCTACTCTGTGACTTGAATGCAAACATCCCAAAGAAGTTTCTGAGAATGCTTCTGTCTAGATTTTCTCTGAAGACAATCCCGTTTCCAACGAAATCCTCAAGGCTAGGCAAATATCCTCTTGCAGATTCCAGAAAAAGAGTGTTTCAAAACTGCTCCTTCAAAACGGTGGTTCAATTCTCTTAGTTGAGTACACACATCTCAAATAAGTTTCTGAGAATGCTTCTGCCTAGTTGTTACGGGAAGATATTTCCCTTTCCAACATGGGCCTGATAGCGCTCCGAATGTCCACTTCCAGATACTACAAAAAGAGGGTTTCAAACCTGCTCTACCAAAGGGAATGTTCTACTCTGTGACTTGAATGCAAACATCCCAAAGAAGTTTCTGAGAATGCTTCTGTCTAGATTTTACCTGAAGACAATCCCGTTTCCCACGAAATCCTCAAAGCTATGCAAATATCCTCTTGCAGATTCTACAAAAAGAGTGTTTCAAAACTGCTCTATGAAAAGAAAGGTTCAACTCTGTCAGTAGAGGGCACACATCACAAACAAGTTTCTGAGAATGCTTGTGTCTAGTTGTTATGGGAAGATATTTCCTTTTTCAACATAGGCCTGAAAGCGCTCCAAATGTCCACTTCCAGATACTACAAAAGGAGTGATTCCAACCTGCTCTATGATAGGGAATGTTCAACTCTGTGTCCTGAATACAAACATCACAAAGATGTTTCTCAGAACGCTGCAGTCTGCAATTTGTATGAATTCCCGCTTCCAACGAAATCCTCAAAACTAGCCAAATATCCACTTGCAGATTCCACAAAAAGACCATTTCAAAACTGCTCTATCAAAAGAAAGGTTCAACTTTGTTAGTTGAGTAGATACAGCATAAACAAGTTTCTGAGAATGCTTCTGTCCAGTTTTTATGGGAAGATATTTCCTTTTTCACCTTAGCCCTGAAAGCGCTCCAAAAGTCCAGTTCCAGATACTACAAAAGGAGTGTTTCAGGACTGCTCTATGAAAGGGAGTGTTCAACTTTTGACTTGAATGCAAACATCAGAAAGCAGTTTCTCAGAACGCTGCTGTGTGCTTTTTATATGTATTCCCGCTTCCAGCGAAATCCCCAAAGCTAGCCAAATATCCACTTGCAGATTCCAGAAAAAGAGTGTTTCAAAACTGCTCCTTCAAAACGGTGGTTCAATTCTCTTAGTTGAGTACACACATCTCAAATGAGTTTCTGAGAATGCTTCTGTCTAGTTGTTATGGGAAGATATTTCCTTTTCCAACATAGGCCTGAAAGCGCTCCAAATGTCCACTTCCAGATACTACAAAAGGAGTGATTCAAACCTGCTCTATGATAGGGAATGTTCAACTCTGTGTCCTGAATACAAACATCACAAAGATGTTTCTCAGAACGCTGCAGTCTGCAATTTGTATGAATTCCCGCTTCCAACGAAATCCTCAAAACTAGCCAAATATCCACTTGCAGATTCCACAAAAAGAGCGTTTCAAAACTTATCTATGAAAAGAAAGGTTCTACTTCTTTAGTTGAGGACACACATCACGAGTAACTTTCTGAGAATGCTTCTGTCTAGTTTTTATGGGAAGATATTTCCTTTTTCACCTTAGGCCGGAAAGCGCTCCAAATGTCCACTTACACACACTACAAAAAGAGTGTTTCAAACCTGCTCTGTGAAAGGGAATGTTCAATTCTGTGACTTGAATGCAATCATCCCAAAGAACTTTCTGAGAATGCTGCTGTCTGCTTTTTAAATGTAATCCCGTTTCCAACGAAATCCTCAAATCTAGCCCAATATCCACTTGCAGATTCCAAAAAAAGAGTGTTTCAAAACTGTTCTGTATAAAGAAATGTACAACTGTGTTAGTTGAGGACACACATCAGAAACTAGTTTCTGAGAATGCTTCTGTCTAGTTGTTATGGGAAGATATTTCCTTTTCCAACGTAGGCCTGAAAGCGCTCCAAATGTCCACTTCCATATACTAAAAAAAGAGTGTTTCAAACCTGCTCTACCAAAGGGAATGTTCTACTCTGTGACTTGAATGCAAACATCCCAAAGAAGTTTCTGAGAATGCTTCTGTCTAGATTTGATCTGAAGACAATCCCGTTTCCAACGAAATCCTCAAGGCTAGGCAAATATCCACTTGCAGATTCCAGAAAAAGAGTGTTTCAAAACTGCTCCTTCAAAACGGTGGTTCAATTCTCTTAGTTGAGGACACACATCTCAAATAAGTTTCTGAGAATGCTTCTGCCTAGTTGTTACGGGAAGATATTTCCCTTTCCAACATAGGCCTGAAAGCGCTCCAAATGTCCACTTCCAGATACTACAAAAAGAGTGTTTCAAACCTGCTCTACCAAAGGGAATGTTCTACTCTGTGACTTGAATGCAAACATCCCAAAGAAGTTTCTGAGAATGCTTCTGTCTAGATTTTACCTGAAGACAATCCCGTTTCCCACGAAATCCTCAAAGCTATGCAAATATCCTCTTGCGGATTCTACAAAAAGAGTGTTTCAAAACTGCTCTATGAAAAGAAAGGTTCAACTCTGTCAGTAGAGGGCACACATCACAAACAAGTTTCTGAGAATGCTTGTGTCTAGTTGTTATGGGAAGATATTTCCTTTTTCAACATAGGCCTGAAAGCGCTCCAAATGTCCACTTCCAGATACTACAAAAGGAGTGATTCCAACCTGCTCTATGATAGGGAATGTTCATCTCTGTGTCCTGAATACAAACATCACAAAGATGTTTCTCAGAACGCTGCAGTCTGCAATTTGTATGAATTCCCGCTTCCAACGAAATCCTCAAACCTAGCCAAATATCCACTTGCAGATTCCACAAAAAGAGCATTTCAAAACTGCTCTATCAAAAGAAAGGTTCAACTTTGTTAGTTGAGTAGATACAGCATAAACAAGTTTCTGAGAATGCTTCTGTCCAGTTTTTATGGGAAGATATTTCCTTTTTCACCTTAGCCCTGAAAGCGCTCCAAATTTCCAGTTCCAGATACTACAAAAGGGGTGTTTCAAGACTGCTCTATGAAAGGGAGTGTTCAACTTTTGACTTGAATGCAAACATCAGAAAGCAGTTTCTCAGAACGCTGCTGTGTGCTTTTTATATGTATTCCCGCTTCCAGCGAAATCCCCAAAGCTAGCCAAATATCCACTTGCAGATTCCAGAAAAAGAGTGTTTCAAAACTGCTCCTTCAAAACGGTGGTTCAATTCTCTTAGTTGAGTACACACATCTCAAATAAGTTTCTGAGAATGCTTCTGTCTAGTTGTTATGGGAAGATATTTCCTTTTCCAACATAGGCCTGAAAGCGCTCCAAATGTCCACTTCCAGATACTACAAAAGGAGTGATTCAAACCTGCTCTATGATAGGGAATGTTCAACTCTGTGTCCTGAATACAAACATCACAAAGATGTTTCTCAGAACGCTGCAGTCTGCAATTTGTATGAATTCCCGCTTCCAACGAAATCCTCCAAACTAGCCAAATATCCACTTGCAGATTCCACAAAAAGAGCGTTTCAAAACTTCTCTATGAAAAGAAAGGTTCTACTCCTTTAGTTGAGGACACACATCACGAGTAAGTTTCTGAGAATGCTTCTGTCTAGTTTTTATGGGAAGATTATTTCCTTTTTCACCTTAGGCCGGTAAGTGCTCCAAATGTCCACTTACACACACTACAAAAAGAGTGTTTCAAACCTGCTCTGTGAAAGGGAATGTTCAATTCTGTGACTTGAATGCAATCATCACAAAGAACTTTCTGAGAATGCCGCTGACTGCTTTTTATATGTAATCCCGTTTCCAACGAAATCCTCAAATCCAGCCAAATAGCCACTTGCAGATTCCACAAAAAGAGTGTTTCAAAACTGTTCTGTCTAAAGAAATGTTCAACTGTGTTAGTTGAGGACACACATCAGAAACTAGTTTCTGAGAATGCTTCTGTCTAGTTGTTATGGGAAGATATTTCCTTTTCCAACGTAGGCCTGAAAGCGATCAAAATGTCCACTTCCATATACTAAAAAAAGAGTGTTTCAAACCTGCTCTACCAAAGGGAATGTTCTACTCTGTGACTTGAATGCAAACATCCCAAAGAAGTTTCTGAGAATGCTTCTGTCTAGATTTTATCTGAAGACAATCCCGTTTCCAACGAAATCCACAAAGCTAGGAAGATATACTCTTGCAGATTCCAGAAAAAGAGTGTTTCAAAACTGCTCCTTCAAAACGGTGGTTCAATTCTCTTAGTTGAGTACACACATCTCAAATAAGTTTCTGAGAATGCTTCTGCCTAGTTGTTACGGGAAGATATTTCCCTTTCCATCATGGGCCTGAAAGCGCTCCAAATGTCCACTTCCAGATACTACAAAAAGAGTGTTTCAAACCTGCTCTACCAAAGGGAATGTTCTACTCTGTGACTTGAATGCAAACATCCCAAAGAAGTTTCTGAGAATGCTTCTGTCTAGATTTTACCTGAAGACAATCCCGTTTCCCACGAAATCCTCAAAGCTATGCAAATATCCTCTTGCAGATTCTACAAAAAGAGTGTTTCAAAACTGCTCTATGAAAAGAAAGGTTCAACTCTGTCAGTAGAGGGCACACATCACAAACAAGTTTCTGAGAATGCTTGTGTCTAGTTGTTATGGGAAGATATTTCCTTTTTCAACATAGGCCTGAAAGCGCTCCAAATGTCCACTTCCAGATACTACAAAAGGACTGATTCCAACATGCTCTATGATAGGGAATGTTCATCTCTGTGTCTTGAATACAAACATCACAAAGATGTTTCTCAGAACGCTTGCAGTCTGCAATTTGTATGAATTCCCGCTTCCAACGAAATCCTCAAAACTAGCCAAATATCCACTTGCAGATTCCACAAAAAGAGCATTTCAAAACTGCTCTATCAAAAGAAAGGTTCAACTTTGTTAGTTGAGTAGATACAGCATAAACAAGTTTCTGAGAATGCTTCTGTCCAGTTTTTATGGGAAGATATTTCCTTTTTCACCTTAGCCCTGAAAGCGCTCCAAAAGTCCAGTTCCAGATACTACCAAAGGAGTGTTTCAGGACTGCTCTATGAAAGGGAGTGTTCAACTTTTGACTTGAATGCAAACATCAGAAAGCAGTTTCTCAGAACGCTGCTGTGTGCTTTTTATATGTATTCCCGCTTCCAGCGAAATCCCCAAAGCTAGCCAAATATCCACTTGCAGATTCCAGAAAAAGAGTGTTTCAAAACTGCTCCTTCAAAACGGTGGTTCAATTCTCTTAGTTGAGTACACACATCTCAAATAAGTTTCTGAGAATGCTTCTGTCTAGTTGTTATGGGAAGATATTTCCTTTTCCAACATAGGACGGAAAGCGCTCCAAATGTCCACTTCCAGATACTACAAAAGGAGTGATTCAAACCTGCTCTATGATAGGGAATGTTCAACTCTGTGTCCTGAATACAAACATCACAACGATGTTTCTCAGAACGCTGCAGTCTGCAATTTGTATGAATTCCCGCTTCCAACGAAATCCTCAAAACTAGCCAAATATCCACTTGGAGATTCCACAAAAAGAGCGTTTCAAAACTTCTCTATGAATAGAAAGGTTCTACTCCTTTAGTTGAGGACACACATCACGAGTAAGTTTCTGAGAATGCTTCTGTCTAGTTTTTATGGGAAGATATGTCCTTTTTCACTTTAGGCCGGAAAGCGCTCCAAATGTCCACTTACACACACTACAAAAAGAGTGTTTCAAACCTGCTCTATGAAAGGGAATGTTCAATTCTGTGACTTGAATGCAATCATCACAAAGAACTTTCTGAGAATGCTGCTGACTGTTTTTTATATGTAATCCCGTTTCCAACGAAATCCTCAAATGTAGCCCAATAACCACTTGCAGATTCCACAAAAAGAGTGTTTCAAAACTGTTCTGTCTAAAGAAAAGTTCAACTGTGTTAGTTGAGGACACATATCAGAAACTAGTTTCTGAGAATGCTTCTGTCTAGTTGTTATGGGAAGATATTTCCTTTTCCAACGTAGGCCTGAAAGCGCTCCAAATGTCCACTTCCATATACTAAAAAAAGAGTGTTTCAAACCTGCTCTACCAAAGGGAATGTTCTACTCTGTGACTTGAATGCAAACATCCCAAAGAAGTTTCTGAGATTGCTTCTGTCTAGATTTGATCTGAACACAATCCCGTTTCCAACGAAATCCTCAAAGCTAGGCAAATATCCTCTTGCAGATTCCAGAAAAAGAGTGTTTCAAAACTGCTCCTTCAAAACGGTGGTTCAATTCTCTTAGTTGAGTGCACACATCTCAAATAAGTTTCTGAGAATGCTTCTGCCTAGTTGTTACGGGAAGATATTTCCCTTTCCAACATAGGCCTGAAAGCGCTCCAAATGTCCACTTCCAGATACTACAAAAAGAGTGTTTCAAACCTGCTCTACCAAAGGGAATGTTCTACTCTGTGACTTGAATGCAAACATCCCAAAGAAGTTTCTGAGAATGCTTCTGTCTAGATTTTACCTGAAGACAATCCCGTTTCCCACGTAATCCTCAAAGCTATGCAAATATCCTCTTGCAGATTCTACAAAAAGAGTGTTTCAAAACTGCTCTATGAAAAGAAAGGTTCAACTCTGTCAGTAGAGGGCACACATCACAAACAAGTTTCTGAGAATGCTTGTGTCTAGTTGTTATGGGAAGATATTTCCTTTTTCAACATAGGCCTGAAAGCGCTCCAAATGTCCATTTCCAGATACTACAAAAGGAGTGATTCCAACCTGCTCTATGATAGGGAATGTTCAACTCTCTGTCCTGAATACAAACATCACAAAGATGTTTCTCAGAACGCTGCAGTCTGCAATTTGTATGAATTCCCGCTTCCAACGAAATCCTCAAAACTAGCCAAATATCCACTTGCAGATTCCACAAAAAGAGCATTTCAAAACTGCTCTATCAAAAGAAAGGTTCAACTTTGTTAGTTGAGTAGATACAGCATAAACAAGTTTCTGAGAATGCTTCTGTCCAGTTTTTATGGGAAGATATTTCCTTTTTCACCTTAGCCCTGAAATCGCTCCAAAAGTCCAGTTCCAGATACTACAAAAGGGGTGTTTCAGGACTGCTCTATGAAAGGGAGTGTTCAACTTTTGACTTGAATGCAAACATCAGAAAGCAGTTTCTCAGAACGCTGCTGTGTGCTTTTTATATGTATTCCCGCTTCCAGCGAAATCCCCAAAGCTAGCTAAATATCCACTTGCAGATTCCAGAAAAAGAGTGTTTCAAAACTGCTCCTTCAAAACGGTGGTTCAATTCTCTTAGTTGAGTACACACATCTCAAATAAGTTTCTGAGAATGCTTCTGTCTAGTTGTTATGGGAAGATATTTCCTTTTCCAACATAGGCCTGAAAGCGCTCCAAATGTCCACTTCCAGATACTACAAAAGGAGTGATTCAAACCTGCTCTATGATAGGGAATGTTCAACTCTGTGTCCTGAATACAAACATCACAAAGATGTTTCTCAGAACGCTGCAGTCTGCAATTTGTATGAATTCCCGCTTCCAACGAAATCCTCAAAACTAGCCAAATATCCACTTGCAGATTCCACAAAAAGAGCGTTTCAAAACTTCTCTATGAAAAGAAAGGTTCTACTCCTTTAGTTGAGGACACACATCACGAGTAAGTTTCTGAGAATGCTTCTGTCTAGTTTTTATGGGAAGATATTTCCTTTTTCACCTTAGGCCGGTAAGTGCTCCAAATGTCCACTTACACACACTACAAAAAGAGTGTTTCAAACCTGCTCTGTGAAAGGGAATGTTCAATTCTGTGACTTGAATGCAATCATCACAAAGAACTTTCTGAGAATGCTGCTGACTGCTTTTTATATGTAATCCCGTTTCCAACGAAATCCTCAAATCTAGCCAAATAGCCACTTGCAGATTCCACAAAAAGAGTGTTTCAAAACTGTTCTGTCTAAAGAAATGTTCAACTGTGTTAGTTGAGGACACACATCAGAAACTAGTTTCTGAGAATGCTTCTGTCTAGTTGTTATGGGAAGATATTTCCTTTTCCAACGTAGGCCTGAATGCGCTCCAAATGTCCACTTCCATATACTAAAAAAAGAGTGTTTCAAACCTGCTCTACCAAAGGGAATGTTCTACTCTGTGACTTGAATGCAAACATCCCAAGGAAGTTTCTGAGAATGCTTCTGTATAGATTTGATCTGAAGACAATCCCGTTTCCAACGAAATCCTCAAGGCTAGGCAAATATCCTCTTTCAGATTCCAGAAAAAGAGTGTTTCAAAACTGCTCCTTCAAAACGGTGGTTCAATTCTCTTAGTTGAATACACACATCTCAAATAAGTTTCTGAGAATGCTTCTGCCTAGTTGTTACGGGAAGATATTTCCCTTTCCAACATAGGCCTGAAAGCGCTCCAAATGTCCACTTCCAGATACTACAAAAAGAGTGTTTCAAACCTGCTCTACCAAAGGGAATGTTCTGCTCTGTGACTTGAATGCAAACATCCCAAAGAAGTTTCTGAGAATGCTTCTGTCTAGATTTTACCTGAAGACAATCCCGTTTCCCACGAAATCCTCAAAGCTATGCAAATATCCTCTTGCAGATTCTACAAAAAGAGTGTTTCAAAACTGCTCTATGAAAAGAAAGGTTCAACTCTGTCAGTAGAGGGCACACATCACAAACAAGTTTCTGAGAATGCTTGTGTCTAGTTGTTATGGGAAGATATTTCCTTTTTCAACATAGGCCAGAAAGCGCTCCAAATGTCCACTTCCAGATACTACAAAAGGAGTGATTCCAACCTGCTCTATGATAGGGAATGTTCAACTCTCTGTCCTGAATACAAACACCACAAAGATGTTTCTCAGAACGCTGCAGTCTGCAATTTGTATGAATTCCCGCTTCCAACGAAATCCTCAAAACTAGCCAAATATCCACTTGCAGATTCCACAAAAAGAGCATTTCAAAACTGCTCTATCAAAAGAAAGGTTCAACTTTGTTAGTTGAGTAGATACAGCATAAACAAGTTTCTGAGAATGCTTCTGTCCAGTTTTTATGGGAAGATATTTCCTTTTTCACCTTAGCCCTGAAAGCGCTCCAAAAGTCCAGTTCCAGATACTACAAAAGGAGTGTTTCAGGACTGCTCTATGAAAGGGAGTGTTCAACTTTTGACTTGAATGCAAACATCAGAAAGCAGTTTCTCAGAACGCTGCAGTCTGCAATTTGTATGAATTCCCGCTTCCAACGAAATCCTCAAAACTAGCCAAATATCCACTTGCAGATTCCACAAAAAGAGCGTTTCAAAACTTCTCTATGAAAAGAAAGGTTCTACTCCTTTAGTTGAGGACACACAATACGAGTAAGTTTCTGAGAATGCTTCTGTCCAGTTTTTATGGGAAGATATTTCCTTTTTCACCTTAGCCCTGAAAGCGCTCCAAAAGTCCAGTTCCAGATACTACAAAAGGAGTGTTTCAGGACTGCTCTATGAAAGGGAGTGTTCAACTTTTGACTTGAATGCAAACATCAGAAAGCAGTTTCTCAGAACGCTGCTGTGTGCTTTTTATATGTATTCCCGCTTCCAGCGAAATCCCCAAAGCTAGCCAAATATCCACTTGCAGATTCCAGAAAAAGAGTGTTTCAAAACTGCTCCTTCAAAACGGTGGTTCAATTCTCTTAGTTGAGTACACACATCTCAAATAAGTTTCTGAGAATGCTTCTGTCTAGTTGTTATGGGAAGATATTTCCTTTTCCAACATAGGCCTGAAAGCGCTCCAAATGTCCACTTCCAGATACTACAAAAGGAGTGATTCAAACCTGCTCTATGATAGGGAATGTTCAACTCTGTGTCCTGAATACAAACATCACAAAGATGTTTCTCAGAACGCTGCAGTCTGCAATTTGTATGAATTCCCGCTTCCAACGAAATCCTCAAAACTAGCCAAATATCCACTTGCAGATTCCACAAAAAGAGCGTTTCAAAACTTCTCTATGAAAAGAAAGGTTCTACTCCTTTAGTTGAGGACACACATCACGAGTAAGTTTCTGAGAATGCTTCTGTCTAGTTTTTATGGGAAGATATTTCCTTTTTCACCTTAGGCCGGAAAGCGCTCCAAATGTCCAATTACACACACTACAAAAAGAGTGTTTCAAACCTGCTCTGTGAAAGGGAATGTTCAATTTTGTGACTTGAATGCAATCATCACAAAGAACTTTCTGAGAATGCTGCTGTCTGCTTTTTATATGTAATCCCGTTTCCAACGAAATCCTCAAATCTAGCCCAATATCCACTTGCAGATTCCACAAAAAGAGTGTTTCAAAACTGTTCTGTATAAAGAAATGTACAACTGTGTTAGTTGAGGACACACATCAGAAACTAGTTTCTGAGAATCCTTCTGTCTAGTTGTTATGGGAAGATATTTCCTTTTCCAACGTAGGCCTGAAAGCGCTCCAAATGTCCACTTCCATATACTAAAAAAAGAGTGTTTCAAACCTGCTCTACCAAAGGGAATGTTCTACTCTGTGACTTGAATGCAAACATCCCAAAGAAGTTTCTGAGAATGCTTCTGTCTAGATTTTATCTGAAGACAATCCCGTTTCCAACGAAATCCTCAAGGCTAGGCAAATATACTCTTGCAGATTCCAGAAAAAGAGTGTTTCAAAACTGCTCCTTCAAAACGGTGGTTCAATTCTCTTAGTTGAGTCCACACATCTCAAATAAGTTTCTGAGAATGCTTCTGCCTAGTTGTTACGGGAAGATATTTCCCTTTCCAACATGGGCCTGAAAGCGCTCCAAATGTCCACTTCCAGATACTACAAAAAGAGTGTTTCAAACCTGCTCTACCAAAGGGAATGTTCTACTCTGTGACTTGAATGCAAACATCCCAAAGAAGTTTCTGAGAATGCTTCTGTCTAGATTTTACCTGAAGACAATCCCGTTTCCCACGAAATCCTCAAAGCTATGCAAATATCCTCTTGCAGATTCTACAAAAAGAGTGTTTCAAAACTGCTCTATGAAAAGAAAGGTTCAACTCTGTCAGTAGATGGCACACATCACAAACAAGTTTCTGAGAATGCTTGTGTCTAGTTGTTATGGGAAGATATTTCCTTTTTCAACATAGGCCAGAAAGCGCTCCAAATGTCCACTTCCAGATACTACAAAAGGAGTGATTCCAACCTGCTCTATGATAGGGAATGTTCAACTCTCTGTCCTGAATGCAAACATCACAAAGATGTTTCTCAGAACGCTGCAGTCTGCAATTTGTATGAATTCCCGCTTCCAACGAAATCCTCAAAACTAGCCAAATATCCACTTGCAGATTCCACAAAAAGAGCATTTCAAAACTGCTCTATCAAAAGAAAGGTTCAACTTTGTTAGTTGAGTAGATACAGCATAAACAAGTTTCTGAGAATGCTTCTGTCCAGTTTTTATGGGAAGATATTTCCTTTTTCACCTTAGCCCTGAAAGCGCCCCAAATGTCCAGTTCCAGATACTACAAAAGGGCTGTTTCAAGACTGCTCTATGAAAGGGAGTGTTCAACTTTTGATTTGAATGCAAACATCAGAAAGCAGTTTCTCAGAACGCTGCAGTCTGCAATTTGTATGAATTCCCGCTTCCAATGAAATCCTCCAAACTAGCCAAATATCCACTTGCGGATTCCACAAAAAGAGCGTTTCAAAACTTCTCTATGAAAACAAAGGTTCTACTCCTTTAGTTGAGGACACACATCACGAGTAAGTTTCTGAGAGTGCTTCTGTCTAGTTTTTATGGGAAGATATTTCCTTTTTCACCTTAGGCCGGAAAGTGCTCCAAATGTCCACTTACACACACTACAAAAAGAGTGTTTCAAACCTGCTCTGTGAAAGGGAATGTTCAATTCTGTGACTTGAATGCAATCATCACAAAGAACTTTCTGAGAATGCTGCTGTCTGCTTTTTATATGTAATCCCGTTTCCAACGAAATCCTCAAATCTAGCCAAATAGCCACTTGCAGATTCCACAAAAAGAGTGTTTCAAAACTGTTCTGTCTAAAGAAATGTTCAACTGTGTTAGTTGAGGACACACATCAGAAACTAGTTTGCTGAGAATGCTTTCTGTCTAGTTGTTATGGGAAGATATTTCCTTTTCCAACGTAGGCCTGAAAGCGCTCCAAATGTCCACTTCCATATACTAAAAAAAGAGTGTTTCAAACCTGCTCTACCAAAGGGAATGTTCTACTCTGTGACTTGAATGCAAACATCCCAAAGAAGTTTCTGAGAATGCTTCTGTCTAGATTTGATCTGAAGACAATCCCGTTTCCAACGAAATCCTCAAGGCTAGGCAAATATCCTCTTGCAGATTCCAGAAAAAGAGTGTTTCAAAACTGCTCCTTCAAAACGGTGGTTCAATTCTCTTAGTTGAGTACACACATCTCAAATAAGTTTCTGAGAATGCTTCTGCCTAGTTGTTACGGGAAGATATTTCCCTTTCCAACATAGGCCTGAAAGCGCTCCAAATGTCCACTTCCAGATACTACAAAAAGAGTGTTTCAAACCTGCTCTACCAAAGGGAATGTTCTACTCTGTGACTTGAATGCAAACATCCCAAAGAAGTTTCTGAGAATGCTTCTGTCTAGATTTTACCTGAAGACAATCCCGTTTCCCACGAAATCCTCAAAGCTATGCAAATATCCTCTTGCAGATTCTACAAAAAGAGTGTTTCAAAACTGCTCTATGAAAAGAAAGGTTCAACTCTGTCAGTAGAGGGCACACATCACAAACAAGTTTCTGAGAATGCTTGTGTCTAGTTGTTATGGGAAGATATTTCCTTTTTCAACATAGGCCTGAAAGCGCTCCAAATGTCCACTTCCAGATACTACAAAAGGAGTGATTCCAACCTGCTCTATGATAGGGAATGTTCAACTCTCTGTCCTGAATACAAACATCACAAAGATGTTTCTCAGAACGCTGCAGTCTGCAATTTGTATGAATTCCCGCTTCCAACGAAATCCTCAAAACTAGCCAAATATCCACTTGCAGATTCCGCAAAAAGAGCATTTCAAAACTGCTCTATCAAAAGAAAGGTTCAACTTTGTTAGTTGAGTTGATACAGCATAAACAAGTTTCTGAGAATGCTTCTGTCCAGTTTTTATGGGAAGATATTTCCTTTTTCACCTTAGCCCTGAAAGCGCTCCAAAAGTCCAGTTCCAGATACTACAAAAGGAGTGTTTCAGGACTGCTCTATGAAAGGGAGTGTTCAACTTTTGACTTGAATGCAAACATCAGAAAGCAGTTTCTCAGAACGCTGCTGTGTGCTTTTTATATGTATTCCCGCCTCCAGCGAAATCCCCAAAGCTAGCCAAATATCCACTTGCAGATTCCAGAAAAAGAGTGTTTCAAAACTGCTCCTTCAAAACGGTGGTTCAATTCTCTTAGTTGAGTACACACATCTCAAATAAGTTTCTGAGAATGCTTCTGTCTAGTTGTTATGGGAAGATATTTCCTTTTCCAACATAGGCCTGAAAGCGCTCCAAATGTCCACTTCCAGATACTACAAAAGGAGTGATTCCAACCTGCTCTATGATAGGGAATGTTCAACTCTGTGTCCTGAATACAAACATCACAAAGATGTTTCTCAGAACGCTGCAGTCTGCAATTTGTATGAATTCCCGCTTCCAACGAAATCCTCAAAACTAGCCAAATATCCACTTGCAGATTCCACAAAAAGACCATTTCAAAACTGCTCTATCAAAAGAAAGGTTCAACTTTGTTAGTTGAGTAGATACAGCATAACCAAGTTTCTGAGAATGCTTCTGTCCAGTTTTTATGGGAAGATATTTCCTTTTTCACCTTAGCCCTGAAATCGCTCCAAAAGTCCAGTTCCAGATACTACAAAAGGGGTGTTTCAAGACTGCTCTATGAAAGGGAGTGTTCAACTTTTGACTTGAATGCAAACATCAGAAAGCAGTTTCCCGAACGCTGCTGTGTGCTTTTTATATGTATTCCCGCTTCCAGCGAAATCCCCAAAGCTAGCCAAATATCCACTTGCAGATTCCAGAAAAAGAGAGTTTCAAAACTGCTCCTTCAAAACGGTGGTTCAATTCTCTTAGTTGAGTACACACATCTCAAATAAGTTTCTGAGAATGCTTCTGTCTAGTTGTTATGGGAAGATATTTCCTTTTCCAACATAGGCCTGAAAGCGCTCCAAATGTCCACTTCCAGATACTACAAAAGGAGTGATTCCAACCTGCTCTATGATAGGGAATGTTCAACTCTGTGTCCTGAATACAAACATCACAAAGATGTTTCTCAGAACGCTGCAGTCTGCAATTTGTATGAATTCCCGCTTCCAACGAAATCCTCAAAACTAGCCAAATATCCACTTGCAGATTCCACAAAAAGAGCGTTTCAAAACTTCTCTATGAAAAGAAAGGTTCTACTCCTTTAGTTGAGGACACACATCACGAGTAAGTTTCTGAGAATGCTTCTGTCTAGTTTTTATGGGAAGATATGTCCTTTTTCACCTTAGGCCGGAGAGCGCTCCAAATGTCCACTTACACACACTACAAAAAGAGTGTTTCAAACCTGCTCTGGAAAGGGAATGTTCAATTCTGTGACTTGAATGCAATCATCACAAAGAACTTTCTGAGAATGCTGCTGACTGCTTTTTATATGTAATCCCGTTTCCAACGAAATCCTCAAATCTACCCCAATATCCACTTGCAGATTCCACAAAAAGAGTGTTTCAAAACTGTTCTGTGTAAAGAAATGTACAACTGTTTTAGTTGAGGACACACATCAGAAACTAGTTTCTGAGAATGCTTCTGTCTAGTTGTTATGGGAAGATATTTCCTTTTCCAACGTAGGCCTGAATGCGCTCCAAATGTCCACTTCCATATACTAAAAAAAGAGTGTTTCAAACCTGCTCTACCAAAGGGAATGTTCTACTCTGTGACTTGAATGCAAACATCCCAAAGAAGTTTCTGAGAATGCTTCTGTCTAGATTTTATCTGAAGACAATCCCGTTTCCAACGAAATCTTCAAGGCTAGGCAAATATACTCTTGCAGATTCCAGAAAAAGAGTGTTTCAAATCTGCTCCTTCAAAACGGTGGTTCAATTCTCTTAGTTGAGTACACACATCTCAAATAAGTTTCTGAGAATGCTTCTGCCTAGTTGTTACGGGAAGATATTTCCCTTTCCAACATAGGCCTGAAAGCGCTCCAAATGTCCACTTCCATATACTAAAAAAAGAGTGTTTCAAACCTGCTCTACCAAAGGGAATGTTCTACTCTGTGACTTGAATAGAAACATCCAAAAGAAGTTTCTGAGAATGCTTCTGTCTAGATTTTAGCTGAAGACAATCCCGTTTCCAACGAAATCCTCAAAGCTAGGCAAATATACTCTAGCAGATTCCAGAAAAAGAGTGTTTCAAAACTGCTCCTTCAAAACGGTGGTTCAATTCTCTTAGTTGAGTACACACATCTCAAATAAGTTTCTGAGAATGCTTCTGCCTAGTTGTTACGGGAAGATATTTCCCTTTCCAACATAGGCCTGAAAGCGCTTCAAATGTCCACTTCCAGATACTACAAAAAGAGTGTTTCAAACCTGCTCTACCAAAGGGAATGTTCTACTCTGTGACTTGAATGCAAACATCCCAAAGAAGTTTCTGAGAATGCTTCTGTCTAGATTTTACCTGAAGACAATCCCGTTTCCCACGAAATCCTCAAAGCTATGCAAATATCCTCTTGCAGATTCTACAAAAAGAGTGTTTCAAAACTGCTCTATGAAAAGAAAGGTTCAACTCTGTCAGTAGAGGGCACACATCACAAACAAGTTTCTGAGAATGCTTCTGCATAGTTGTTACGGGAAGATATTTCCCTTTCCAAAATAGGCCTGAAAGCGCTCCAAATGTCCACTTCCAGATACTACAAAAGGAGTGATTCCAACCTGCTCTATGATAGGGAATGTTCAACTCTGTGTCCTGAATACAAACATCACAAAGATGTTTCTCAGAACGCTGCAGTCTGCAATTTGTATGAATTCCCGCTTCCAACGAAATCCTCAAAACTAGCCAAATATCCACTTGCAGATTCCACAAAAAGACCATTTCAAAACTGCTCTATCAAAAGAAAGGTTCAACTTTGTTAGTTGAGTAGATACAGCATAAACAAGTTTCTGAGAATGCTTCTGTCCAGTTTTTATGGGAAGATATTTCCTTTTTCACCTTAGCCCTGAAATCGCTCCAAAAGTCCAGTTCCAGATACTACAAAAGGGGTGTTTCAAGACTGCTCTATGAAAGGGAGTGTTCAACTTTTGACTTGAATGCAAACATCAGAAAGCAGTTTCTCAGAACGCTGCTGTGTGCTTTTTATATGTATTCCCGCTTCCAGCGAAATCCCCAAAGCTAGCCAAATATCCACTTGCAGATTCCAGAAAAAGAGTGTTTCAAAACTGCTCCTTCAAAACGGTGGTTCAATTCTCTTAGTTGAGTAGACACATCTCAAATAAGTTTCTGAGAATGCTTCTGTCTAGTTGTTATGGGAAGATATTTCCTTTTCCAACATAGGCCTGAAAGCGCTCCAAATGTCCACTTCCAGATACTACAAAAGGAGTGATTCCAACCTGCTCTATGATAGGGAATGTTCAACTCTGTGTCCTGTATACAAACATCACAAAGATGTTTCTCAGAACGCTGCAGTCTGCAATTTGTATGAATTCCCGCTTCCAACGAAATCCTCCAAACTAGCCAAATATCCACTTGCAGATTCCACAAAAAGAGCGTTTCAAAACTTCTCTATGAAAGAAAGGTTCTACTCCTTTAGTTGAGGACACACATCACGAGTAAGTTTCTGAGAATGCTTCTGTCTAGTTTTTATGGGAAGATATTTCCTTTCTCACCTTAGGCCGGAAAGTGCTCCAAATGTCCACTTACACACACTACAAAAAGAGTGTTTCAAACCTGCTCTGTGAAAGGGAATGTTCAATTCTGTGACTTGAATGCAATCATCACAAAGAACTTTCTGAGAATGCTGCTGTCTGCTTTTTATATGTAATCCCGTTTCCAACGAAATCCTCAAATCTAGCCAAATAGCCACTTGCAGATTCCACAAAAAGAGTGTTTCAAAACTGTTCTGTCTAAAGAAATGTTCAACTGTGTTAGTTGAGGACACACATCAGAAACTAGTTTCTGAGAATGCTTCTGTCTAGTTGTTATGGGAAGATATTTCCTTTTCCAACGTAGGCCTGAAAGCGCTCCAAAAGTCCAGTTCCAGATACTACAAAAGGAGTGTTTCAGGACTGCTCTATGAAAGGGAGTGTTCAACTTTTGACTTGAATGCAAACATCAGAAAGCAGTTTCTCAGAACGCTTCTGTCTAGATTTGATCTGAAGACAATCCCGTTTCCAACGAAATCCTCAAGGCTAGGCAAATATCCTCTTGCAGATTCCAGAAAAAGAGTGTTTCAAAACTGCTCCTTCAAAACGGTGGTTCAATTCTCTTAGTTGAGTACACACATCTCAAATAAGTTTCTGAGAATGCTTCTGCCTAGTTGTTACGGGAAGATATTTCCCTTTCCAACATGGGCCTGAAAGCGCTCCAAATGTCCACTTCCAGATACTACAAAAAGAGTGTTTCAAACCTACTCTACCAAAGGGAATGTTCTACTCTGTGACTTGAATGCAAACATCCCAAAGAAGTTTCTGAGAATGCTTCTGTCTAGATTTTACCTGAAGACAATCCCGTTTCCCACGAAATCCTCAAAGCTATGCAAATATCCTCTTGCAGATTCTACAAAAAGAGTGTTTCAAAACTGCTCTATGAAAAGAAAGGTTCAACTCTGTCAGTAGAGGGCACACATCACAAACAAGTTTCTGAGAATGCTTGTGTCTAGTTGTTATGGGAAGATATTTCCTTTTTCAACATAGGCCTGAAAGCGCTCCAAATGTCCACTTCCAGACACTACAAAAGGCGTGATTCCAACCTGCTCTATGATAGGGAATGTTCATCTCTGTGTCCTGAATACAAACATCACAAAGATGTTTCTCAGAACGCTGCAGTCTGCAATTTGTATGAATTCCCGCTTCCAAAGAAATCCTCAAAACTAACCAAATATCCACTTGCAGACTCCACAAAAAGAGCATTTCAAAACTGCTCTATCAAAAGAAAGGTTCAACTTTGTTAGCTGAGTAGATACAGCATAAACAAGTTTCTGAGAATGCTTCTGTCCAGTTTTTATGGGAAGATATTTCCTTTTTCACCTTAGCCCTGAAAGCACTCCAAATGTCCACTTCCAGATACCACAAAAGGGGAGTTTCAAGACTGCTCTATGAAAGGGAGTGTTCAACTTTTGACTTGAATGCGAACATCAGAAAGAAGTTTCTCAGAACGCTGCTGTGTGCTTTTTATATGTATTCCCGCTTCCAGCGAAATCCCCAAAGCTAGCCAGATATCCACTTGCAGATTCCAGAAAAAGAGTGTTTCAAAACTGCTCCTTCAAAACGGTGGTTCAATTCTCTTAGTTGAGTACACACATCTCAAATAAGTTTCTGAGAATGCTTCTGTCTATTTGTTATGGGAAGATATTTCCTTTTCCAACATAGGCCTGAAAGCGCTCCAAAAGTCCACTTCCAGTTACTACAAAAGGAGTGATTCCAACCTGCTCTATGATAGGGAATGTTCAACTCTGTGTCCTGAATACAAACATCACAAAGATGTTTCTCAGAACGCTGCAGTCTGCAATTTGTATGAATTCCCGTTTCCAACGTAATCCTCAAAACTAGCCAAATATCCACCTGCAGATTCCACAAAAAGAGCGTTTCAAAACTTCTCTATGAAAAGAAAGTTTCTACTCCTTTAGTTGAGTACACACATCACGAGTAAGTTTCTGAGAATGCTTCTGTCTAGTTTTTATGGGAAGATATTTCCTTTTTCACCTTAGGCCGGAAAGCGCTCCAAATGTCCACTTTCACACACTACAAAAAGAGTGTTTCAAACCTGCTCTGTGAAAGGGAATGTTCAATTCTGTGACTTGAATGCAATCATCACAAAGAACTTTCTGAGAATGCCGCTGTCTGCTTTTTATATGTAATCCCGTTTCCAACGAAATGCTCAAATCTAGCCAAATATCCACTTGCAAATTCCACAAAAAGAGTGTTTCAAAACTGTTCTGTCTAAAGAAATGTTCAACTGTGTTAGTTGAGGACACACATCAGAAACTAGTTTCTGAGAATGCTTCTGTCTAGTTGTTATGGGAAGATATTTCCTTTTCCAACGTAGGCCTGAAAGCGCTCCAAATGTCCACTTACACACACTACAAAAAGAGTGTTTCAAACCTGCTCTACCAAAGGGAATGTTCTACCCTGTGACTTGAATGCAAACATCCCAAAGAAGTTTCTGAGAATGCTTCTGTCCAGATTTTACCTGAAGACAATCCCGTTTCCCACGAAATCCTCAAAGCTATGCAAATATCCTCTTGCAGATTCTACAAAAAGAGTGTTTCAAAACTGCTCTATGAAAAGAAAGGTTCAAATCTGTCAGTAGAGGGCACACATCACAAACAAGTTTACTGGGAATGCTTGTGTCTAGTTGTTATGGGAAGATATTTCCTTTTTCAACATAGGGCCTGAAAGCGCTCCAAATGTCCACTTCCAGATACTACAAAAGGAGTGATTCCAACCTGCTCTATGATAGGGAATGTTCATCTCTGTGTCCTGAATACAAACATCACAAAGATGTTTCTCAGAACGCTGCAGTCTGCAATTTGTATGAATTCCCGCTTCCAACGAAATCCTCAAAACTAGCCAAATATCCACTTGCAGATTCCACAAAAAGAGCGTTTCAAAACTTCTCTATGAAAAGAAAGGTTCTACTCCTTTAGTTGAGGACACACATCACGAGTAAGTTTCTGAGAATGCTTCTGTCTAGTTTTTATGGGAAGATATTTCCTTTTTCACCTTAGGCCGGAAAGCGCTCCAAATGTCCACTTACACACACTACAAAAAGAGTGTTTCAAACCTGCTCTGTGAAAGGGAGTGTTCAATTCTGTGACTTGAATGCAATCATCACAAAGAACTTTCTGAGAATGCTGCTGACTGCTTTTTATATGTAATCCCGTTTCCAACGAAATCCTCAAATCTAGCCAAATAGCCACTTGCAGATTCCACAAAAAGAGTGTTTCAAAACTGTTCTGTCTAAAGAAATGTTCAACTGTGTTAGTTGAGGACACACATCAGAAACTAGTTTCTGAGAATGCTTCTGTCTAGTTTTTATGGGAAGATATTTCCTTTTCCAACGTAGGCCTGAAAGCGCTCCAAATGTCCACTTCCATATACTAAAAAAAGAGTGTTTCAAACCTGCTCTACCAAAGGGAATGTTCTACTCTGTGACTTGAATGCAAACATCCCAAAGAAGTTTCTGAGAATGCTTCTGTCTAGATTTGATCTGAAGACAATCCCGTTTCCAACGAAATCCTCAAGGCTAGGCAAATATCCTCTTGCAGATTCCAGAGAAAGAGTGTTTCAAAACTGCTCCTTGAAAACGGTGGTTCAATTCTCTTAGTTGAGTACACACATCTCAAATAACTTTCTGAGAATGCTTCTGCCTAGTTGTTACGGGAAGATATTTCCCTTTCCAACATAGGCCTGAAAGCGCTCCAAATGTCCACTTCCAGATACTACAAAAAGAGTGTTTCAAACCTGCTCTACCAAAGGGAATGTTCTGCTCTGTGACTTGAATGCAAACATCCCAAAGAAGTTTCTGAGAATGCTTCTGTCTAGATTTTACCTGAAGACAATCCCGTTTCCCACGAAATCCTCAAAGCTATGCAAATATCCTCTTGCAGATTCTACAAATAGAGTGTTTCCAAACTGCTCTATGAAAAGAAAGGTTCAACTCTGTCAGTAGAGGGCACACATCACAAACAAGTTTCTGAGAATGCTTGTGTCTAGTTGTTATGGGAAGATATTTCCTTTTTCAACATAGGCCTGAAAGCGCTCCAAATGTCCACTTCCAGATACTACAAAAGGAGTGATTCCAACCTGCTCTATGATAGGGAATGTTCAACTCTCTGTCCTGAATACAAACATCACAAAGATGTTTCTCAGAACGCTGCAGTCTGCAATTTGTATGAATTCCCGCTTCCAACGAAATCCTCAAAACTAGCCAAATATCCACTTGCAGATTCCACAAAAAGACCATTTCAAAACTGCTCTATCAAAAGAAAGGTTCAACTTTGTTAGTTGAGTAGATACAGCATAAACAAGTTTCTGAGAATGCTTCTGTCCAGTTTTTATGGGAAGATATTTCCTTTTTCACCTTAGCCCTGAAATCGCTCCAAAAGTCCAGTTCCAGATACTACAAAAGGGGTGTTTCAAGACTGCTCTATGAAAGGGAGTGTTCAACTTTTGACTTGAATGCAAACATCAGAAAGCAGTTTCTCAGAACGCTGCTGTGTGCTTTTTATATGTATTCCCGCTTCCAGCGAAATCCCCAAAGCTAGCCAAATATCCACTTGCAGATTCCAGAAAAAGAGTGTTTCAAAACTGCTCCTTCAAAACGGTGGTTCAATTCTCTTAGTTGAGTACACACATCTCAAATAAGTTTCTGAGAATGCTTCTGTCTAGTTGTTATGGGAAGATATTTCCTTTTCCAACATAGGCCTGAAAGCGCTCCAAATGTCCACTTCCAGATACTACAAAAGGAGTGATTCAAACCTGCTCTATGATAGGGAATGTTCAACTCTGTGTCCTGAATACAGACATCACAAAGATGTTTCTCGGAAAGCTGCAGTCTGCAATTTGTATGAATTCCCGCTTCCAACGAAATCCTCCAAACTAGCCAAATATCCACTTGCAGATTCCACAAAAAGAGCGTTTCAAAACTTCTCTATGAAAAGAAAGGTTCTACTCCTTTAGTTGAGGACACACATCACGAGTAAGTTTCTGAGAATGCTTCTGTCTAGTTTTTATGGGAAGATATTTCCTTTTTCACCTTAGGCCGGAAAGTGTTCCAAATGTCCACTTACACACACTATAAAAAGAGTGTTTCAAACCTGCTCTGTGAAAGGGAATGTTCAATTCTGTGACTTGAATGCAATCATCACAAAGAACTTTCTGAGAATGCTGCTGTCTGCTTTTTATATGTAATCCCGTTTCCAACGAAATCCTCAAATCTAGCCAAATAGCCACTTGCAGATTCCACAAAAAGAGAGTTTCAAAACTGTTCTGTCTAAAGAAATGTTCAACTGTGTTAGTTGAGGACACACATCAGAAACTAGTTTCTGAGAATGCTTCTGTCTAGTTGTTATGGGAAGATATTTCCTTTTCCAACGTAGGCCTGAAAGCGCTCCAAATGTCCACTTCCATATACTAAAAAAAGAGTGTTTCAAACCTGCTCTACCAAAGGGAATGTTCTACTCTGTGACTTGAATGCAAACATCCCAAAGAAGTTTCTGAGAATGCTTCTGTCTAGATTTGATCTGAAGACAATCCCGTTTCCAACGAAATCCTCAAGGCTAGGCAAATATCCTCTTGCAGATTCCAGAAAAAGAGTGTTTCAAAACTGCTCCTTCAAAACGGTGGTTCAATTCTCTTAGTTGAGTACACACATCTCAAATAAGTTTCTGAGAATGCTTCTGCCTAGTTGTTACGGGAAGATATTTCCCTTTCCAACATAGGCCTGAAAGCGCTCCAAATGTCCACTTCCAGATACTACAAAAAGAGTGTTTCAAAACTACTCTATGAAAAGAAAGGTTCAACTCTGTCAGTAGAGGGCACACATCACAAACAAGTTTCTGAGAATGCTTGTGTCTAGTTGTTATGGGAAGATATTTCCTTTTTCAACATAGGCCTGAAAGCGCTCCAAATGTCCACTTCCAGATACTACAAAAGGAGTGATTCCAACCTGCTCTATGATAGGGAATGTTCAACTCTATGTCCTGAATACAAACATCACAAAGATGTTTCTCAGAACGCTGCAGTCTGCAATTTGTATGAATTCCCGCTTCCAACGAAATCCTCCAAACTAGCCAAATATCCACTTGCAGATTCCACAAAAAGAGCGTTTCAAAACTTCTCTATGAAAAGAAAGGTTCTGCTCCTTTAGTTGAGGACACACATCACGAGTAAGTTTCTGAGAATGCTTCTGTCTAGTTTTTATGGGAAGATATTTCCTTTTTCACCTTAGGCCGGAAAGTGCTCCAAATGTCCACTTACACACACTACAAAAAGAGTGTTTCAAACCTGCTCTGTGAAAGGGAATGTTCAATTCTGTGACTTGAATGCAATCATCACAAAGAACTTTCTGAGAATGCTGCTGTCTGCTTTTTATATGTAATCCCGTTTCCAACGAAATCCTCAAATCTAGCCCAATATCCACTTGCAGATTCCACAAAAAGAGTGTTTCAAAACTGTTCTGTCTAAAGAAATGTACAACTGTGTTAGTTGAGGACACACATCAGAAACTAGTTTCTGAGAATGCTTCTGTCTAGTTGTTATGGGAAGATATTTCCTTTTCCAACGTAGGCCTGAAAGCGCTCCAAATGTCCACTTCCATATACTAAAAAAAGAGTGTTTCAAACCTGCTCTACCAAAGGGAATGTTCTACTCTGTGACTTGAATGCAAACATCCCAAAGAAGTTTCTGAGAATGCTTCTGTCTAGATTTTATCTGAAGACAATCCCGTTTCCAACGAAATCCTCAAGGCTAGGCAAATATACTCTTGCAGATTCCAGAAAAAGAGGGTTTCAAAACTGCTCCTTCAAAACGGTGGTTCAATTCTCTTAGTTGAGTACACACATCTCAAATAAGTTTCTGAGAATGCTTCTGCCTAGTTGTTACGGGAAGATATTTCCCTTTCCAACATGGGCCTGAAAGCGCTCCAAATGTCCAGTTCCAGATAATACAAAAAGAGGGTTTCAAACCTGCTCTACCAAAGGGAATGTTCTACTCTGTGACTTGAATGCAAACATCCCAAAGAAGTTTCTGAGAATGCTTCTGTCTAGATTTTACCTGAAGACAATCCCGTTTCCCACGAAATCCTCAAAGCTATGCAAATATCCTCTTGCAGATTCTACAAAAAGAGTGTTTCAAAACTGCTCTATGAAAAGAAAGGTTCAACTCTGTCAGCAGAGGGCACACATCACAAACAAGTTTCTGAGAATGCTTGTGTCTAGTTGTTATGGGAAGATATTTCCTTTTTCAACATAGGCCTGAAAGCGCTCCAAATGTCCACTTCCAGATACTACAAAAGGAGTGATTCCAACCTGCTCTATGATAGGTAATGTTCATCTCTGTGTCCTGAATACAAACATCACAAAGATGTTTCTCAGAACGCTGCAGTCTGCAATTTGTATGAATTCCCGCATCCAAGGAAATCCTCAAAACTAGCCAAATATCCACTTGGAGATTCCACAAAAAGAGCGTTTCAAACCTTCTCTATGAATAGAAAGGTTCTACTCCTTTAGTTGAGGACACACATCACGAGTAAGTTTCTGAGAATGCTTCTGTCTAGTTTTTATGGGAAGATATTTCCTTTTTCACCTTAGGCCGGAAAGCGCTCCAAATGTCCACTTACACACACTACAAAAAGAGGGTTTCAAACCTGCTCTGTGAAAGGGAATGTTCAATTCTGTGACTTGAATGCAATCATCACAAAGAACTTTCTGAGAATGCTGCTGTCTGCTTTTTATATGTAATCCCGTTTCCAACGAAATCCTCAAATCTAGCCAAATATCCACTTGCAGATTCCACAAAAAGAGTGTTTCAAAACTGTTCTGTCTAAAGAAAAGTTCAACTGTGTTAGTTGAGGACACACATCAGAAACTAGTTTCTGAGAATGCTTCTGTCTAGTTGTTATGGGAAGATATTTCCTTTTCCAACGTAGGCCTGAAAGCGCTCCAAATGTCCACTTCCATATACTAAAAAAAGAGTGTTTCAAACCTGCTCTACCAAAGGTAATGTTCTACTCTGTGACTTGAATGCAAACATCCCAAAGAAGTTTCTGAGAATGCTTCTGTCTAGATTTGATCTGAAGACAATCCCGTTTCCAACGAAATCCTCAAGGCTAGGCAAATATCCTCTTGCAGATTCCAGAAAAAGAGTGTTTCAAAACTGCTCCTTCAAAACGGTGGTTCAATTCTCTTAGTTGAGTACACACATCTCAAATAAGTTTCTGAGAATGCTTCTGCCTAGTTGTTACGGGAAGATATTTCCCTTTCCATCATAGGCCTGAAAGCGCTCCAAATGTCCACTTCCAGATACTACAAAAAGAGTGTTTCAAACCTGCTCTACCAAAGGGAATGTTCTACTCTGTGACTTGAATGCAAACATCCCAAAGAAGTTTCTGAGAATGCTTCTGTCTAGATTTTACCTGAAGACAATCCCGTTTCCCACGAAATCCTCAAAGCTATGCAAATATCCTCTTGCAGATTCTACAAAAAGAGTGTTTCAAAACTGCTCTATGAAAAGAAAGGTTCAACTCTGTCAGTAGAGGGCACACATCACAAACAAGTTTCTGAGAATGCTTCTGCATAGTTGTTACGGGAAGATATTTCCCTTTCCAAAATAGGCCTGAAAGCGCTCCAAATGTCCACTTCCAGATACTACAAAAGGAGTGATTCCAACCTGCTCTATGATAGGGAATGTTCAACTCTGTGTCCTGAATACAAACATCACAAAGATGTTTCTCAGAACGCTGCAGTCTGCAATTTGTATGAATTCCCGCTTCCAACGAAATCCTCAAAACTAGCCAAATATCCACTTGCAGATTCCACAAAAAGACCATTTCAAAACTGCTCTATCAAAAGAAAGGTTCAACTTTGTTAGTTGAGTAGATACAGCATAAACAAGTTTCTGAGAATGCTTCTGTCCAGTTTTTATGGGAAGATATTTCCTTTTTCACCTTAGCCCTGAAATCGCTCCAAAAGTCCAGTTCCAGATACTACAAAAGGGGTGTTTCAAGACTGCTCTATGAAAGGGAGTGTTCAACTTTTGACTTGAATGCAAACATCAGAAAGCAGTTTGCTCAGAACGCTGGCTGTGTGCTTTTTATATGTATTCCCGCTTCCAGCGAAATCCCCAAAGCTAGCCAAATATCCACTTGCAGATTCCAGAAAAAGAGTGTTTCAAAACTGCTCCTTCAAAACGGTGGTTCAATTCTCTTAGTTGAGTACACACATCTCAAATAAGTTTCTGAGAATGCTTCTGTCTAGTTGTTATGGGAAGATATTTCCTTTTCCAACATAGGCCTGAAAGCGCTCCAAATGTCCACTTCCAGATACTACAAAAGGAGTGATTCCAACCTGCTCTATGATAGGGAATGTTCAACTCTGTGTCCTGAATACAAACATCACAAAGATGTTTCTCAGAACGCTGCAGTCTGCAATTTGTATGAATTCCCGCTTCCAACGAAATCCTCCAAACTAGCCAAATATCCACTTGCAGATTCCACAAAAAGAGCGTTTCAAAACTTCTCTATGAAAGAAAGGTTCTACTCCTTTAGTTGAGGACACACATCACGAGTAAGTTTCTGAGAATGCTTCTGTCTAGTTTTTATGGGAAGATATGTCCTTTTTCACCTTAGGCCGGAAAGCACTCCAAATGTCCACTTACACACACTACAAAAACAGTGTTTCAAACCTGCTCTGTGAAAGGGAATGTTCAATTCTGTGACTTGAATGCAATCATCACAAAGAACTTTCTGAGAATGCTGCTGACTGCTTTTTATATGTAATCCCGTTTCCAACGAAATCCTCAAATCTAGCCCAATATCCACTTGCAGATTCCACAAAAAGAGTGTTTCAAAACTGTTCTGTCTAAAGAAATGTACAACTGTGTTAGTTGAGGACACACATCAGAAACTAGTTTCTGAGAATGCTTCTGTCTAGTTGTTATGGGAAGATATTTCCTTTTCCAACGTAGGCCTGAAAGCGCTCCAAATGTCCACTTCCATATACTAAAAAAAGAGTGTTTCAAACCTGCTCTACCAAAGGGAATGTTCTACTCTGTGACTTGAATGCAAACATCCCAAAGAAGTTTCTGAGAATGCTTCTGTCTAGATTTGATCTGAAGACAATCCCGTTTCCAACGAAATCCTCAAGGCTAGGCAAATATCCTCTTGCAGATTGCAGAAAAAGAGTGTTTCAAAACTGCTCCTTCAAAACGGTGATTCAATTCTCTTAGTTGAGTACACACATCTCAAATAAGTTTCTGAGAATGCTTCTGCCTAGTTGTTACGGGAAGATATTTCCCTTTCCAACATAGGCCTGAAAGCGCTCCAAATGTCCACTTCCAAATACTACAAAAAGAGTGTTTCAAACCTACTCTACCAAAGGGAATGTTCTACTCTGTGACTTGAATGCAAACATCCCAAAGAAGTTTCTGAGAATGCTTCTGTCTAGATTTTACCTGAAGACAATCCCGTTTCCCACGTAATCCTCAAAGCTATGCAAATATCCTCTTGCAGATTCTACAAAAAGAGTGTTTCAAAACTGCTCTATGAAAAGAAAGGTTCAACTCTGTCAGTAGAGGGCACACATCACAAACAAGTTTCTGAGAATGCTTGTGTCTAGTTGTTATGGGAAGATATTTCCTTTTTCAACATAGGCCTGAAAGCGCTCCAAATGTCCACTTCCAGATACTACAAAAGGAGTGATTCCAACCTGCTCTATGATAGGGAATGTTCAACTCTCTGTCCTGAATACAAACATCACAAAGATGTTTCTCAGAACGCTGCAGTCTGAAATTTGTATGAATTCCCGCTTCCAACGAAATCCTCAAAACTAGCCAAATATCCACTTGCAGATTCCACAAAAAGAGCATTTCAAAACTGCTCTATCAAAAGAAAGGTTCAACTTTGTTAGTTGAGTAGATACAGCATAAACAAGTTTCTGAGAATGCTTCTGTCCAGTTTTTATGGGAAGATATTTCCTTTTTCACCTTAGCCCTGAAAGCGCTCCAAAAGTCCAGTTCCAGATACTACAAAAGGAGTGTTTCAGGACTGCTCTATGAAAGGGAGTGTTCAACTTTTGACTTGAATGCAAACATCAGAAAGCAGTTTCTCAGAACGCTGCTGTGTGCTTTTTATATGTATTCCCGCTTCCAGCGAAATCCCCAAAGCTAGCCAAAGAGCCACTTGCAGATTCCAGAAAAAGAGTGTTTCAAAACTGCTCCTTCAAAACGGTGGTTCAATTCTCTTAGTTGAGTACACACATCTCAAATAAGTTTCTGAGAATGCTTCTGTCTAGTTGTTATGGGAAGATATTTCCTTTTCCAACATAGGCCTGAAAGCGCTCCAAATGTCCACTTCCAGATACTACAAAAGGAGTGATTCAAACCTGCTCTATGATAGGGAATGTTCAACTCTGTGTCCTGAATACAAACATCACAAAGATGTTTCTCAGAACGCTGCAGTCTGCAATTTGCATGAATTCCAGCTTCCAACGAAATCCTCAAAACTAGCCAAATATCCACTTGCAGATTCCACAAAAAGAGCATTTCAAAACTGCTCTATCAAAAGAAAGGTTCAACTTTGTTAGTAGAGTAGATACAGCATAAACAAGTTTCTGAGAATGCTTCTGTCCAGTTTTTATGGGAAGATATTTCCTTTTTCACCTTAGCCCTGAAAGCGCTCCAAATGTCCAGTTCCAGATACTACAAAAGGGGTGTTTCAAGACTGCTCTATGAAAGGGAGTGTTCAACTTTTGACTTGAATGCAAACATCAGAAAGCAGTTTCTCAGAACGCTGCTGTGTGCTTTTTATATGTATTCCCGCTTCCAGCGAAATCCCCAAAGCTAGCCAAATATCCACTTGCAGATTCCAGAAAAAGAGAGTTTCCAAACTGCTCCTTCAAAACGGTGGTTCAATTCTCTTAGTTGAGTACACACATCTCAAATAAGTTTCTGGGAATGCTTCTGTCTAGTTGTTATGGGAAGATATTTCCTTTTCCAACATAGGCCTGAAAGCGCTCCAAATGTCCACTTCCAGATACTACAAAAGGAGTGATTCAAACCTGCTCTATGATAGGGAATGTTCAACTCTGTGTCCTGAATACAAACATCACAAAGATGTTTCTCAGAACGCTGCAGTCTGCAATTTGTATGAATTCCCGCTTCCAACGAAATCCTCAAAACTAGCCAAATATCCACTTGCAGATTCCACAAAAAGAGCGTTTCAAAACTTCTCTATGAAAAGAAAGGTTCTACTCCTTTAGTTGAGGACACACATCACGAGTAAGTTTCTGAGAATGCTTCTGTCTAGTTTTTATGGGAAGATATTTCCTTTTTCACCTTTGGCCGGAAAGCGCTCCAAATGTCCACTTACACACACTACAAAAAGAGTGTTTCAAACCTGCTCTGTGAAAGGGAATGTTCAATTCTGTGACTTGAATGCAATCATCACAAAGAACTTTCTGAGAATGCTGCTGTCTGCTTTTTATATGTAATCCCGTTTCCAACGAAATCCTCAAATCTAGCCAAATATCCACTTGCAGATTCCACAAAAAGAGTGTTTCAAAACTGTTCTGTGTAAAGAAAAGTTCAACTGTGTTAGTTGAGGACACATATCAGAAACTAGTTTCTGAGAATGCTTCTGTCTAGTTGTTATGGGAAGATATTTCCTTTTCTAACGTAGGCCTGAAAGCGCTCCAAATGTCCACTTCCATATACTAAAAAAACAGTGTTTCAAACCTGCTCTACCAAAGGGAATGTTCTACTCTGTGACTTGAATGCAAACATCCCAAAGAAGTTTCTGAGAATGCTTCTGTATAGATTTGATCTGAAGACAATCCCGTTTCCAACGAAATCCTCAAGGCTAGGCAAATATCCTCTTGCAGATTCCAGAAAAAGAGTGTTTCAAAACTGCTCCTTCAAAACGGTGGTTCAATTCTCTTAGTTGAGTACACACATCTCAAATAAGTTTCTGAGAATGCTTCTGCCTAGTTGTTACGGGAAGATATTTCCCTTTCCAACATAGGCCTGAAAGCGCTCCAAATGTCCACTTCCAGATACTACAAAAAGAGTGTTTCAAACCTGCTCTACCAAAGGGAATGTTCTACTCTGTGACTTGAATGCAAACATCCCAAAGAAGTTTCTGAGAATGCTTCTGTCTAGATTTTACCTGAAGACAATCCCGTTTCCCACGAAATCCTCAAAGCTATGCAAATATCCTCTTGCAGATTCTACAAAAAGAGTGTTTCAAAACTGCTCTATGAAAAGAAAGGTTCAACTCTGTCAGTAGAGGGCACACATCACAAACAAGTTTCTGAGAATGCTTGTGTCTAGTTGTTATGGGAAGATATTTCCTTTTTCAACATAGGCCTGAAAGCGCTCCAAATGTCCACTTCCAGATACTACAAAAGGAGTGATTCCAACCTGCTCTATGATAGGGAATGTTCAACTCTCTGTCCTGAATACAAACATCACAAAGATGTTTCTCAGAACGCTGCAGTCTGCAATTTGTATGAATTCCCGCTTCCAACGAAATCCTAAAAACTAGCCAAATATCCACTTGCAGATTCCACAAAAAGACCATTTCAAAACTGCTCTATCAAAAGAAAGGTTCAACTTTGTTAGTTGAGTAGATACAGCATAAACAAGTTTCTGAGAATGCTTCTGTCCAGTTTTTATGGGAAGATATTTCCTTTTTCACCTTAGCCCTGAAATCGCTCCAAAAGTCCAGTTCCAGATACTACAAAAGGGGTGTTTCAAGACTGCTCTATGAAAGGGAGTGTTCAACTTTTGACTTGAATGCAAACATCAGAAAGCAGTTTCTCAGAACGCTGCTGTGTGCTTTTTATATGTATTCCCGCTTCCAGCGAAATCCCCAAAGCTAGCCAAATATCCACTTGCAGATTCCAGAAAAAGAGAGTTTCAAAACTGCTCCTTCAAAACGGTGGTTCAATTCTCTTAGTTGAGTACACACATCTCAAATAAGTTTCTGAGAATGCTTCTGTCTAGTTGTTATGGGAAGATATTTCCTTTTCCAACATAGGCCTGAAAGCGCTCCAAATGTCCACTTCCAGATACTACAAAAGGAGTGATTCAAACCTGCTCTATGATAGGGAATGTTCAACTCTGTGTCCTGAATACAAACATCACAAAGATGTTTCTCAGAACGCTGCAGTCTGCAATTTGTATGAATTCCCGCTTCCAACGAAATCCTCAAAACTAGCCAAATATCCACTTGCAGATTCCACAAAAAGACCATTTCAAAACTGCTCTATCAAAAGAAAGGTTCAACTTTGTTAGTTGAGTAGATACAGCATAAACAAGTTTCTGAGAATGCTTCTGTCCAGTTTTTATGGGAAGATATTTCCTTTTTCACCTTAGCCCTGAAATCGCTCCAAAAGTCCAGTTCCAGATACTACAAAAGGGGTGTTTCAAGACTGCTCTATGAAAGGGAGTGTTCAACTTTTGACTTGAATGCAAACATCAGAAAGCAGTTTCTCAGAACGCTGCTGTGTGCTTTTTATATGTATTCCCGCTTCCAGCGAAATCCCCAAAGCTAGCCAAATATCCACTTGCAGATTCCAGAAAAAGAGAGTTTCAAAACTGCTCCTTCAAAACGGTGGTTCAATTCTCTTAGTTGAGTACACACATCTCAAATAAGTTTCTGAGAATGCTTCTGTCTAGTTGTTATGGGAAGATATTTCCTTTTCCAACATAGGCCTGAAAGCGCTCCAAATGTCCACTTCCAGATACTACAAAAGGAGTGATTCAAACCTGCTCTATGATAGGGAATGTTCAACTCTGTGTCCTGAATACAAACATCACAAAGATGTTTCTCAGAACGCTGCAGTCTGCAATTTGTATGAATTCCCGCTTCCAACGAAATCCTCAAAACTAGCCAAATATCCACTTGCAGATTCCACAAAAAGAGCATTTCAAAACTGCTCTATCAAAAGAAAGGTTCAACTTTGTTAGTTGAGTAGATACAGCATAAACAAGTTTCTGAGAATGCTTCTGTCCAGTTTTTATGGGAAGATATTTCCTTTTTCACCTTAGCCCTGAAATCGCTCCAAAAGTCCAGTTCCAGATACTACAAAAGGAGTGTTTCAGGACTGCACTATGAAAGGGAGTGTTCAACTTTTGACTTGAATGCAAACATCAGAAAGCAGTTTCTCAGAACGCTGCTGTGTGCTTTTTATATGTATTCCCGCTTCCAGCGAAATCCCCAAAGCTAGCCAAATATCCACTTGCAGATTCCAGAAAAAGAGTGTTTCAAAACTGCTCCTTCAAAACGGTGGTTCAATTCTCTTAGTTGAGTACACACATCTCAAATAAGTTTCTGAGAATGCTTGTGTCTAGTTGTTATGGGAAGATATTTCCTTTTTCAACATAGGCCTGAAAGCGCTCCAAATGTCCACTTCGAGATACTACAAAAGGAGTGATTCCAACATGCTCTATGATAGGGAATGTTCATCTCTGTGTCCTGAATACAAACATCACAAAGATGTTTCTCAGAACGCTGCAGTCTGCAATTTGTATGAATTCCCGCTTCCAACGAAATCCTCAAAACTAGCCAAATATCCACTTGCAGATTCCACAAAAAGAGCGTTTCAAAACTTCTCTATGAAAAGAAAGGTTCTACTCCTTTAGTTGAGGACACACATCACGAGTAAGTTTCTGAGAGTGCTTCTGTCTAGTTTTTATGGGAAGATTATTTCCTTTTTCACCTTAGGCCGGTAAGTGCTCCAAATGTCCACTTACACACACTACAAAAAGAGTGTTTCAAACCTGCTCTGTGAAAGGGAATGTTCAATTCTGTGACTTGAATGCAATCATCACAAAGAACTTTCTGAGAATGCCGCTGTCTGCTTTTTATATGTAATCCCGTTTCCATCGAAATCCTCAAATCTAGCCAAATATCCACTTGCAGATTCCACAAAGAGAGTGTTTCAAAACTGTTCTGTCTAAAGAAATGTTCAACTGTGTTAGTTGAGGACACACATCAGAAACTAGTTTCTGAGAATGCTTCTGTCTAGTTGTTATGGGAAGATATTTCCTTTTCCAACGTAGACCTGAAAGCGCTCCAAATGTCCACTTCCATATACTAAAAAAAGAGTGTTTCAAACCTGCTCAACCAAAGGGAATGTTCTACTCTGTGACTTGAATGCAAACATCCCAAAGAAGTTTCTGAGAATGCTTCTGTCTAGATTTGATCTGAAGACAATCCCGTTTCCAACGAAATCCTCAAGGCTAGGGAAATATCCTCTTGCAGATTCCAGAAAAAGAGTGTTTCAAAACTGCTCCTTCAAAACGGTGGTTCAATTCTCTTAGTTGAGTACACACATCTCAAATAAGTTTCTGAGAATGCTTCTGCCTAGTTGTTACGGGAAGATATTTCCCTTTCCAACATAGGCCTGAAAGCGCTCCAAATGTCCACTTCCAGATACTACAAAAAGAGTGTTTCAAACCTGCTCTACCAAAGGGAATGTTCTACTCTGTGACTTGAATGCAAACATCCCAAAGAAGTTTCTGAGAATGCTTCTGTCTAGATTTTACATGAAGACAATCCCGTTTCCCACGAAATCCTCAAAGCTATGCAAATATCCTCTTGCAGATTCTACAAAAAGAGTGTTTCGAAAGTGCTCTATGAAAAGAAAGGTTCAACTGTGTCAGTAGAGGGCACACATCACAAACAAGTTTCTGAGAATGCTTCTGCATAGTTGTTACGGGAAGATATTTCCCTTTCCAAAATAGGCCTGAAAGCGCTCCAAATGTCCACTTCCAGATACTACAAAAGGAGTGATTCCAACCTGCTCTATGATAGGGAATGTTCAACTCTGTGTCCTGAATACAAACATCACAAAGATGTTTCTCAGAACGCTGCAGTCTGCAATTTGTATGAATTCCCGCTTCCAACGAAATCCTCAAAACTAGCCAAATATCCACTTGCAGATTCCACAAAAAGACCATTTCAAAACTGCTCTATCAAAAGAAAGGTTCAACTTTGTTAGTTGAGTAGATACAGCATAAACAAGTTTCTGAGAATGCTTCTGTCCAGTTTTTATGGGAAGATATTTCCTTTTTCACCTTAGCCCTGAAATCGCTCCAAAAGTCCAGTTCCAGATACTACAAAAGGGGTGTTTCAAGACTGCTCTATGAAAGGGAGTGTTCAACTTTTGACTTGAATGCAAACATCAGAAAGCAGTTTCTCAGAACGCTGCTGTGTGCTTTTTATATGTATTCCCGCTTCCAGCGAAATCCCCAAAGCTAGCCAAATATCCACTTGCAGATTCCAGAAAAAGAGAGTTTCAAAACTGCTCCTTCAAAACGGTGGTTCAATTCTCTTAGTTGAGTACACACATCTCAAATAAGTTTCTGAGAATGCTTCTGTCTAGTTGTTATGGGAAGATATTTCCTTTTCCAACATAGGCCTGAAAGCGCTCCAAATGTCCACTTCCAGATACTACAAAAGGAGTGATTCCAACCTGCTCTATGATAGGGAATGTTCAACTCTGTGTCCTGAATACAAACATCACAAAGATGTTTCTCAGAACGCTGCAGTCTGCAATTTGTATGAATTCCCGCTTCCAACGAAATCCTCAAAACTAGCCAAATATCCACTTGCAGATTCCACAAAAAGAGCGTTTCAAAACTTCTCTATGAAAAGAAAGGTTCTACTCCTTTAGTTGAGGACACACATCACGAGTAAGTTTCTGAGAATGCTTCTGTCTAGTTTTTATGGGAAGATATTTCCTTTTTCACCTTAGGCCGGAAAGCGCTCCAAATGTCCACTTACACACACTACAAAAAGAGTGTTTCAAACCTGCTCTGTGAAAGGGAATGTTCAATTCTGTGACTTGAATGCAATCATCACAAAGAACTTTCTGAGAATGCTGCTGTCTGCTTTTTATATGTAATCCCGTTTCCAACGAAATCCTCAAATCTAGCCAAATATCCACTTGCAGATTCCACAAAAAGAGTGTTTCAAAACTGTTCTGTCTAAAGAAAAGTTCAACTGTGTTAGTTGAGGACACACATCAGAAACTAGTTTCTGAGAATGCTTCTGTCTAGTTGTTATGGGAAGATATTTCCTTTTCCAACGTAGGCCTGAAACCGCTCCAAATGTCCACTTCCATATACTAAAAAAAGAGTGTTTCAAACCTGCTCTACCAAAGGGAATATTCTACTCTGTGACTTGAGTGCAAACATCCCAAAGAAGTTTCTGAGAATGCTTCTGTCTAGATTTGATCTGAAGACAATCCCGTTTCCAACGAAATCCTCAAGGCTAGGCAAATATCCTCTTGCAGATTCCAGAAAAAGAGTGTTTCAAAACTGCTCCTTCAAAACGGTGGTTCAATTCTCTTAGTTGAGTACACACATCTCAAATAAGTTTCTGAGAATGCTTCTGCCTAGTTGTTACGGGAAGATATTTCCCTTTCCAACATGGGCCTGAAAGCGCTCCAAATGTCCACTTCCAGATACTACAAAAAGAGGGTTTCAAACCTGCTCTACCAAAGGGAATGTTCTACTCTGTGACTTGAATGCAAACATCCCAAAGAAGTTTCTGAGAATGCTTTCTGTCTAGATTTTAGCTGAAGACAATCCCGTTTCCCACGAAATCCTCAAAGCTATGCAAATATCCTCTTGCAGATTCTACAAAAAGAGAGTTTCGAAACTGCTCTATGAAAAGAAAGGTTCAACTGTGTCAGTAGAATGCACACATCACAAACAAGTTTCTGAGAATGCTTCTGCATAGTTGTTACGGGAAGATATTTCCCTTTCCAAAATAGGCCTGAAAGCGCTCCAAATGTCCACTTCCAGATACTACAAAAGGAGTGATTCCAACCTGCTCTATGATAGGGAATGTTCAACTCTGTGTCCTGAATACAAACATCACAAAGATGTTTCTCAGAACGCTGCAGTCTGCAATTTGTATGAATTCCCGCTTCCAACGAAATCCTCAAAACTAGCCAAATATCCACTTGCAGATTCCACAAAAAGACCATTTCAAAACTGCTCTATCAAAAGAAAGGTTCAACTTTGTTAGTTGAGTAGATACAGCATAAACAAGTTTCTGAGAATGCTTCTGTCCAGTTTTTATGGGAAGATATTTCCTTTTTCACCTTAGCCCTGAAATCGCTCCAAAAGTCCAGTTCCAGATACTACAAAAGGGGTGTTTCAGGACTGCTCTATGAAAGGGAGTGTTCAACTTTTGACTTGAATGCAAACATCAGAAAGCAGTTTCTCAGAACGCTGCTGTGTGCTTTTTATATGTATTCCCGCTTCCAGCGAAATCCCCAAAGCTAGCCAAATATCCACTTGCAGATTCCAGAAAAAGAGAGTTTCAAAACTGCTCCTTCAAAACGGTGGTTCAATTCTCTTAGTTGAGTACACACATCTCAAATAAGTTTCTGAGAATGCTTCTGTCTATTTGTTATGGGAAGATATTTCCTTTTCCAACATAGGCCTGAAAGCGCTCCAAATGTCCACTTCCAGATACTAGAAAAGGAGTGATTCAAACCTGCTCTATGATAGGGAATGTTCAACTCTGTGTCCTGAATACAAACATCACAAAGATGTTTCTCAGAACGCTGCAGTCTGCAATTTGTATGAATTCCCGCTTCCAACGAAATCCTCAAAACTAGCCAAATATCCACTTGCAGATTCCACAAAAAGAGCGTTTCAAAACTTCTCTATGAAAAGAAAGGTTCTACTACTTTAGTTGAGGACACACATCACGAGTAAGTTTCTGAGAATGCTTCTGTCTAGTTTTTATGGGAAGATATTTCCTTTTTCACCTTAGGCCGGTAAGTGCTCCAAATGTCCACTTACACACACTACAAAAAGAGTGTTTCAAACCTGCTCTGTGAAAGGGAATGTTCAATTCTGTGACTTGAATGCAATCATCACAAAGAACTTTCTGAGAATGCTGCTGACTGCTTTTTATATGTAATCCCGTTTCCAACGAAATCCTCAAATCTAGCCAAATAGCCACTTGCAGATTCCACAAAAAGAGTGTTTCAAAACTGTTCTGTCTAAAGAAATGTTCAACTGTGTTAGTTGAGGACACACATCGAAACCAGTTTCTGAGAATGCTTCTGTCTAGTTGTTATGGGAAGATATTTCCTTTTCCAACGTAGGCCTGAAAGCGCTCCAAATGTCCACTTCCATATACTAAAAAAAGAGTGTTTGTTTCAAACCTGCTCTACCAAAGGGAATGTTCTACTCTGTGACTTGAATGCAAACATCCCAAAGAAGTTTCTGAGAATGCTTCTGTCTAGATTTTCTCTGAAGACAATCCCGTTTCCAACGAAATCCTCAAGGCTAGGCAAATATACTCTTGCAGATTCCAGAAAAAGAGTGTTTCAAAACTGCTCCTTCAAAACGGTGGTTCAATTCTCTTAGTTGAGTACACACATCTCAAATAAGTTTCTGAGAATGCTTCTGCCTAGTTGTTACGGGAAGATATTTCCCTTTCCAACATGGGCCTGAAAGCGCTCCAAATGTCCACTTCCAGATACTACAAAAAGAGTGTTTCAAACCTACTCTACCAAAGGGAATGTTCTACTCTGTGACTTGAATGCAAACATCCCAAAGTAGTTTCTGAGAATGCTTCTGTCTAGATTTTACCTGAAGACAATCCCGTTTCCCACGAAATCCTCAAAGCTATGCAAATATCCTCTTGCAGATTCTACAAAAAGAGTGTTTCAAAACTGCTCTATGAAAAGAAAGGTTCAACTCTGTCAGTAGAGGGCACACATCACAAACAAGTTTCTGAGAATGCTTGTGTCTAGTTGTTATGGGAAGATATTTCCTTTATCAACATAGGCCTGAAAGCGCTCCAAATGTCCACTTCCAGATACTACAAAAGGAGTGATTCCAACCTGCTCTATGATAGGGAATGTTCATCTCTGTGTCCTGAATACAAACATCACAAAGATGTTTCTCAGAACGCTGCAGTCTGCAATTTGTATGAATTCCCGCTTCCAACGAAATCCTCAAAACTAGCCAAATATCCACTTGCAGATTCCACAAAAAGACCATTTCAAAACTGCTCTATCAAAAGAAAGGTTCAACTTTGTTAGTTGAGTAGATACAGCATAAACAAGTTTCTGAGAATGCTTCTGTCCAGTTTTTATGGGAAGATATTTCCTTTTTCACCTTAGCCCTGAAATCGCTCCAAAAGTCCAGTTCCAGATACTACAAAAGGGGTGTTTCAAGACTGCTCTATGAAAGGGAGTGTTCAACTTTTGACTTGAATGCAAACATCAGAAAGCAGTTTCTCAGAACGCTGCTGTGTGCTTTTTATATGTATTCCCGCTTCCAGCGAAATCCCCAAAGCTAGCCAAATATCCACTTGCAGATTCCAGAAAAAGAGTGTTTCAAAACTGCTCCTTCAAAACGGTGGTTCAATTCTCTTAGTTGAGTACACACATCTCAAATAAGTTTCTGAGAATGCTTCTGTCTAGTTGTTATGGGAAGATATTTCCTTTTCCAACATAGGCCTGAAAGCGCTCCAAATGTCCACTTCCAGATACTACAAAAGGAGTGATTCAAACCTGCTCTATGATAGGGAATGTTCAACTCTGTGTCCTGAATACAAACATCACAAAGATGTTTCTCAGAACGCTGCAGTCTGCAATTTGTATGAATTCCCGCTTCCAACGAAATCCTCCAAACTAGCCAAATATCCACTTGCAGATTCCACAAAAAGAGCGTTTCAAAACTTCTCTATGAAAAGAAAGGTTCTACTCCTTTAGTTGAGGACACACATCACGAGTAAGTTTCTGAGAGTGCTTCTGTCTAGTTTTTATGGGAAGATATTTCCTTTTTCACCTTAGGCCGGAAAGTGCTCCAAATGTCCACTTACACACACTACAAAAAGAGTGTTTCAAACCTGCTCTGTGAAAGGGAATGTTCAATTCTGTGACTTGAATGCAATCATCACAAAGAACTTTCTGAGAATGCTGCTGTCTGCTTTTTATATGTAATCCCGTTTCCAACGAAATCCTCAAATCTAGCCAAATAGCCACTTGCAGATTCCACAAAAAGAGTGTTTCAAAACTGTTCTGTCTAAAGAAATGTTCAACTGTGTTAGTTGAGGACACACATCAGAAACTAGTTTCTGAGAATGCTTCTGTCTAGTTGTTATGGGAAGATATTTCCTTTTCCAACGTAGGCCTGAAAGCGCTCCAAATGTCCACTTCCATATACTAAAAAAAGAGTGTTTCAAACCTGCTCTACCAAAGGGAATGTTCTACTCTGTGACTTGAATGCAAACATCCCAAAGAAGTTTCTGAGAATGCTTCTGTCTAGATTTGATCTGAAGACAATCCCGTTTCCAACGAAATCCTCAAGGCTAGGCAAATATCCTCTTGCAGATTCCAGAAAAAGAGTGTTTCAAAACTGCTCCTTCAAAACGGTGGTTCAATTCTCTTAGTTGAGTACACACATCTCAAATAAGTTTCTGAGAATGCTTCTGCCTAGTTGTTACGGGAAGATATTTCCCTTTCCAACATAGGCCTGAAAGCACTCCAAATGTCCACTTCCAGATACTACAAAAAGAGTGTTTCAAACCTACTCTACCAAAGGGAATGTTCTACTCTTTGACTTGAATGCAAACATCCCAAAGAAGTTTCTGAGAATGCTTCTGTCTAGATTTTACCTGAAGACAATCCCGTTTCCCACGTAATCCTCAAAGCTATGCAAATATCCTCTTGCAGATTCTACAAAAAGAGTGTTTCAAAACTGCTCTATGAAAAGAAAGGTTCAACTCTGTCAGTAGAGGGCACACATCACAAACAAGTTTCTGAGAATGCTTCTGCATAGTTGTTACGGGAAGATATTTCCCTTTCCAAAATAGGCCTGAAAGCGCTCCAAATGTCCACTTCCAGATACTACAAAAGGAGTGATTCCAACCTGCTCTATGATAGGGAATGTTCAACTCTGTGTCCTGAATACAAACATCACAAAGATGTTTCTCAGAACGCTGCAGTCTGCAATTTGTATGAATTCCCGCTTCCAACGAAATCCTCAAAACTAACCAAATATCCACTTGCAGACTCCACAAAAAGAGCATTTCAAAACTGCTCTATCAAAAGAAAGGTTCAACTTTGTTAGCTGAGTAGATACAGCATAAACAAGTTTCTGAGAATGCTTCTGTCCAGTTTTTATGGGAAGATATTTCCTTTTTCACCTTAGCCCTGAAAGCACTCCAAATGTCCACTTCCAGATACCACAAAAGGGGAGTTTCAAGACTGCTCTATGAAAGGGAGTGTTCAACTTTTGACTTGAATGCGAACATCAGAAAGAAGTTTCTCAGAACGCTGCTGTGTGCTTTTTATATGTATTCCCGCTTCCAGCGAAATCCCCAAAGCTAGCCAAATATCCACTTGCAGATTCCAGAAAAAGAGTGTTTCAAAACTGCTCCTTCAAAACGGTGGTTCAATTCTCTTAGTTGAGTACACACATCTCAAATAAGTTTCTGAGAATGCTTGTGTCTAGTTGTTATGGGAAGATATTTCCTTTTTCAACATAGGCCTGAAAGCGCTCCAAATGTCCACTTCCAGATACTACAAAAGGAGTGATTCCAACCTGCTCTATGATAGGGAATGTTCATCTCTGTGTCCTGAATACAAACATCACAAAGATGTTTCTCAGAACGCTGCAGTCTGCAATTTGTATGAATTCCCGCTTCCAACGAAATCCTCAAAACTAGCCAAATATCCACTTGCAGATTCCACAAAAAGAGCGTTTCAAAACTTCTCTATGAAAAGAAAGGTTCTACTCCTTTAGTTGAGGACACACATCACGAGTAAGTTTCTGAGAATGCTTCTGTCTAGTTTTTATGGGAAGATATTTCCTTTTTCACCTTAGGCCGGTAAGTGCTCCAAATGTCCACTTACACACACTACAAAAAGAGTGTTTCAAACCTGCTCTGTGAAAGGGAATGTTCAATTCTGTGACTTGAATGCAATCATCACAAAGAACTTTCTGAGAATGCTGCTGACTGCTTTTTATATGTAATCCCGTTTCCAACGAAATCCTCAAATCTAGCCAAATAGCCACTTGCAGATTCCACAAAAAGAGTGTTTCAAAACTGTTCTGTCTAAAGAAATGTTCAACTGTGTTAGTTGAGGACACACATCAGAAACTAGTTTCTGAGAATGCTTCTGTCTAGTTGTTATGGGAAGATATTTCCTTTTCCAACGTAGGCCTGAAAGCGCTCCAAATGTCCACTTCCAGATACTAAAAAAAGAGTGTTTCAAACCTGCTCTACCAAAGGGAATGTTCTACTCTGTGACTGGAATGCAAGCATCCCAAAGAAGTTTCTGAGAATGCTTCTGTCTAGATTTTCTCTGAAGACAATCCCGTTTCCAACGAAATCCTCAAGGCTAGGCAAATATACTCTTGCAGATTCCAGAAAAAGAGTGTTTCAAAACTGCTCCTTCAAAACGGTGGTTCAATTCTCTTAGTTGAGTACACACATCTCAAATAAGTTTCTGAGAATGCTTCTGCCTAGTTGTTACGGGAAGATATTTCCCTTTCCAACATAGGCCTGAAAGCGCTCCAAATGTCCACTTCCAGATACTACAAAAAGAGTGTTTCAAACCTGCTCTACCAAAGGGAATGTTCTACTCTGTGACTTGAATGCAAACATCCCAAAGAAGTTTCTGAGAATGCTTCTGTCTAGATTTTACCTGAAGACAATCCCGTTTCCCACGAAATCCTCAAAGCTATGCAAATATCCTCTTGCAGATTCTACAAAAAGAGTGTTTCAAAACTGCTCTATGAAAAGAAAGGTTCAAATCTGTCAGTAGAGGGCACACATCACAAACAAGTTTCTGAGAATGCT